>NC_000003.12:170372240-170523755 GCF_000001405.40 Homo sapiens
ACTCAAAATAATAGTTGCAAAATATTACAAGAACTCGAGCCTTTGCATTTTCTGTGAGCATTTTTAAGTATCTCAAACCTAAAATTGGCTTTGTGAGGTAGGTGGTATGATCTTTCAGCCTGTGGAAACAGCTGCCATTGCTGTGACTCCTGACGATCTGTTTTTGATCAGTTAGTGCAGATGCTTAGATCATACTGTCCCAGTTTTGCATTAATTTGATCAATTCTATTGATTACAGAGAAGTGAGGCCCAAGACTAAGCCTTGAAATCTCTAAGTAGCTATTTGCTACCTTGTAACACTGTTCTGTTTCATTTATTGAAACACTAACTCACAACATGTTGGAAATATTAAGGAAACCTGATAGTGTACTGAGGGATTCTGTTTCTTTTGGTAAGAGTTGTTGGCAGCTATCTGGTAGGGTGTCTTTATACTTCTGAAATCATTTATTGACCACTTGAATGTCTTAGTATTATACACAGCAAAAAGACCCTGATGAGATATATTCACTTCCTGTGTATCCAGTCATATGTTTAGTAAGGTTGCTAATGATTTATTTTGGGTCAGAACAAAGTAATGTGCATTTCATATGCATTATATTTTATTTCTTGTGTAAATAGGCCATTAGGGAGATAGACTATTAAATTTACCAACCTACACTACTGCTTCTGTCTTATGAACACAAATTTAAAAATTAATCTTTATCACTTATAGCACTTTAAAAATTCTGTTTTTAGAAATAATTTTCAATTTTTTTTTTTTTTTTTGAGACGGAGTCTCACTCTGTCGCCCAGGCTGGAGTTCAGTGGCGTGATCTCGGCTCACAGCAACCTCGACAACCTCCACATCCCAGGTTCAAGCGATTCTCTTGTTGCAGCCCCCTCGGTAGCTGGGACTACAGGCGTGCACCACCAGGCCCGGCTAATTTTTTTATTTATTTTTATTTTTTAGATAGTCTTGCTATGTCGCCCAGGCTGGAGTACAGTGGTGTGATCTCGGCTCACTACACCCTCCACCTCCTGGGTTCAAGCGATTCTTCTGCCTCAGCCTCCTAAGTAGCTGGGATTACAGGCATGAGCCACCGTGCCCAGCCTTTATGCCTGGCTAATTTTATATTTTTAGTAGAGACAGGGTTTCACCATGTTGGCCGGGCTGGTCTTGAACTCCTGACCTCAGGTGATCCTCCGCCTTGGCCTCCCAAAGTGCTGGGATTACAGGTGTGAGTCACTGTGCCTGGCCTTCCGGCTCATATATTTGTAAAAAGGCTTAATTCTGATTTTTGTTGGAATTTTGGAATTCCCACTAGTGTTTTGAGGCATTATCTTGGTTTCTTTAGTTCATTAATGTTTGTCATTAGGACTTAATTAAAGATCAAAATAGTAATCTGATGCTGTAATTAAAAATTAGAGTGCCACCTAAAAGCAAGATTTAGTATTTGAAAATAAGTTCCAGCTTGGGCAACATAGTGCAACCCCTGTCTCTACAAAAAAAATTAAAAAAAAATTAGTCAGGCTTGGTGGCATGGGCCAATAGTCCTGACTACTCTGGAGGCTGAGGCACGAGGATCCCTTGAGCCCAGGAGTTGGAGGATGCAGTGAGCTATAATTATACCACTGTTCCCCAGAGCAAGACCCTGTCTCAAGGGAAAAAAAAAATGTCTAAGAATTTTAAAGGGTTTTTTTTGGTACAAATTCGAATACTTGTATGAATAATGCTGAGCAGGTGGAATAGCTTTTGTATTTAGAAAGGAGTGACAAGAAGTTTTTTGTAAATGAAATCAAGCTCTCTAAATTATTTTTCATTATGAGACTGATTAGCATCGTATCACTAAAATAGAGTGGTTCTTCATTAGGAAATCTGATTATCAAAGGGTCACGTATACAGAATAAGCATAGGAAGGTGCAGAAATTTAGAGAAACTTTCATAAAATGTTTCTTAGTTTTTACTTATTTTATATTTTTTTACTGTATATTTTGGAATTGTTTAAATTGTACATTCATAGACATTTGGAGTTTTATGACCTAAGAGGAAAGAACCTTTGGAATGAAATTTTTGTGTCTGAAATTTTGCTTATGTGTTTGAAATGAGGATGCTATCTGTTCATTTTGGGGTAAATAATGATGGGGAAATTGGGTGATAAGAGCATTTTGAAATGTTAAGGCTCTAACTTAAGCTACTAAATGATCCACTTCTTTGGCAAGTTATATAATGTATTGTATTTTAAAATTTAAATACACATAAAAATAAATGATTCCTATGTTGAAAGGTAAGATACCAGGCAGTAGATACTCATAATTTGGTATCTAATTTTTATTCCTGATTAGTAGCATTACTGCTGAACCATTTAATTATATTGTTCTTTTTTTGAAAACCTAATTTGTATGTTGACACAAATGCAGAATAGATGAGAAAATCTGGCATGCCTCTGAATGTTTTGTTGTATCATAAACATTGTGCTTTTCTTAATTGTTTTTAACATACAGTTAGGATAATTTGTTATAAATGTGTTTATGGCTTACCACAGCATATTAGGTAAAATTAGCTTGCAACATTTTATCATGGTTAGTGTTGTGCGTGTCCCCATCATTTGTATTGTTTAATTTATATCTCTGAAAAATGCAGCCTTAGAAACTGTTGGGCTTCCTTGGTGCTTCATGGAGTAGAGGGATATCAAACGTGAAAGAGACCAAGAGTTTTGTGGTAGCAGAATAACCTTGTAAAAGGCTACCTTGGGAATTAATGAGCTGCACTGTCATTCAGAATTCATTCAACAAATAATAGATATTTGATAGATGAGTCCCTACTACATGCTAGGCATATAGTGCTAGGTATTAAAAATACAAAGGTAAGGCTGGTTCTTGACCTCAAGCTGCTGTTTAAGCAGAGGCTGCGTAGCCACTTAACAGGGATTTTAAATAGGGAATTCAGACATTGGCTAGGGGACTATGCTAGGTGATCTTTAAGATTCCTTAGAAGCTCTAGTCTGACTCTTACTGGGTTGGTCAAGACTAGGAAATAAAATAAAGAATAGGAGCTAAGAGGGATGACTGTTTAAAAATAAAGGAATGTGCTAGCAGTTATTTAAGGTGGCACCTGAAGTTTAGAGACACAGAAATAAATAGATGCTAGGTTTGGCTCATGAGTAAAGATAAAACTTACTCTTATAAATCAAACTGTAGGGTTTTGAAATGAACTTGATCAAAATTGAGTCAGATTTCAAGTCAAGGTCTTTGAGCAAATTTAGAATTTGCTTGATATTCTGAAGATTTGAGATTCCAGTATTCATTATAGGAAAAACTTTGAAATATATAAATCAATTTTAGTAATTTTATATTTTTTTCTTTTTCTTTTTTCGAGACAAGCCCCACACTGTTGCCTAGGCTGCAGTGCAGTGGCAGGATCATAGCTCACAGCAACCTCAAACCTGCCAGCTTCAACTGATTCTCCCACCTCAGTCCCCTGAGTAGCTGAGACTACAGGCATGCGTCACCACGGCTGGCCAATTAAAAACAATTTTTTTTGTAGAGATGGGGGTCTCTCTATGTTGTCCAGGCTGGTTTCGAACTGCTGGACTCAAGCAGTCCTTGTGCCTTGGCCTCCTAAAATTCCGGGGCTATAGGTGTGAGCCACTGGGTAGGGCCAATTTTAGTAGTTTTAATTTAAAAAATCTGGAAACAATTGATTTCTTGGGCAGTACATCTAGAATTCTTTCAGATATAACACTTATTTAAAGAGGAGCTTTCTTTGTTTTTTAACAAATGATGTCTAGAAAAGAAATTCTCATTTAATTCAAGCTGATTTTCCTTTTTTTTTTTTTTTTTTTTTTTGAGACGGAGTTTCACTGTCTTGCCCAGGCTGGAGCGCAGTGGCGCAATCTCAGCTCACTGCAACCTCCACCTCCTGGGTTCAAGTGATTCTCCTGCCTCAGCCTCCCGAGTAGCTGGGATTACAGGGATGCACCACCATGCCCAGCTAATTTTTTTTTTCTTATTAGAGATGGGGTTTCACCATTTGGTCAGGCTGGTTTCGAACTCCGGACCTCAAATGATCCACCCACCTCGGCCTCCCAGAGTGCTGGGATTACAGGTGTGAGCCACTGTTCCTGCCCTCAAACTGATCTTAAATTTTACTGATTTGTTAGAATGAACTTATCCTCGTTCATTGACACCTCTTTGGTCATGTAGAGCTGGGGTGCAAAATGTTCTACCCGTTAAGCTACTTTTTAAAAGCATTGTGTTTTTTTAAAAAACTGTTTTCATGAATTGTAAAATGTCTGAAAAAGTTTTGAATCTAAGTGGTATACAGAACATAATTTAGCTATGTCACGTTGACTCAAGAGTTTTTATTTTTTTAACGAGACAGGGTCTGGCTCTGTCACCCAGGCTGGAGTGCCATGGAGCAATCTCAGCTCACTGCAACCTCTGTTTCCTGGGCTCAAGTGATCCTCCTGCCTTAGCCTCCCAAGTAGCTGGGACTACAGGCACACATCACCTTGCCTGGCTAATTTTTGTATTATTATTAGAGATGGGGTTTTGCCTTGTTGCCCAGGCCAGTCTCAAACTCCTGAGCTGAAGCAGTCTGCCCACTTTGGCCTCCCAAAGTGCTAGGTAATATCACAGATGTGAGCCGTTGCGCCTGGCCAACTCAAGATTCTTAAACATTAATTACCATACTTTGTTGAATTGGGGTAGGGGACAATTGAGATATATTAAATTATTTGCCCCGGTCTATGCTAAAGCCTTTACTCAGATTGTCTTGCTTTTTGAAGCAGTTTTTGTGTTTGCATCTTGTAATTTTCCTCTCTCCTTAGGCTGTCAGCTGTCACTTAGCATCTATCATTTAGTATTTCTGTTGCCAGAAGTCAGTTCCCTTTCTTACTGCTATAACTAAGCTATAGGCTGAGGAACTATGTAAATAAGTGATCAGTTTGTTTTATAAATAAGCAGTGGAATTTGCCCAGATTCTGAATATTAGTTCAAAATGTGATGTTTCGTTTTCTGTTTTCCTTTTTTTTTTTGAGATGGAGTTGCACTTTGTTGCCCAGGCTGGAGTGCAGTGGAGCGATCTCAGCTCACTGCAACCTCTGTTCCCCTGTTTCGGTTGATTCTCCTGTCCTCCTAAAGTGCTGGGATTATAGGCATGAGCCACTGTGCCCAGGCCTTTTTTTTTTTTTTTAATTCCACATTTACATATCATGTAGAGACCTTCACTGAATATTCAACTCTTAAATCTTTTAAAAATATTAATTTTTTTCTTATAATTTTGAGGTCTTATTAGTATTTCAAATTCATTGCTCAATAATTCTTTTTTTTTTTTTTTTTTTTTTTTGAGACAGAGTCTCACTCTGTCACCCAGGCTGGAGTGCAGTGGCACGATCTCGGCTCACTGCAACCTCCGCCCTCTGAGTTCAAGCGATTCTCCTGCCTCAGCCTCCTGAGTAGCTGGGATTACAGGCGCCTGCTGCCGCACCCGACTAATTTTTTTTTTTTGTATTTTTAGTAGAGACGGGGTTTCACCATCTTGGCCAGGCTGGTCTTGAACTCCTGATCTCGTGATCCACCCGCCTTGGCCTCCCAAAGTGCTGGGATTACAGGTGTGAGCCACTGTGCCTGGCCTAATTCTTAACAAAAATAAAGATCTCCCACATACATATTTTTTTCTTTTTTTATTTTTGAGACAGAGTCTTGCTCTGTCACCCAGGCTGGAGTGCAATGGCGCCGTCTCGGCTCACTGCAATCTCCACCTCCCAGGTTCAAGCGATTCTCCTGCCTCAGCCTCCTGAGTAGCTAGGATTACAGGTGCGTACCACCACACCTGGCTAATTTTTGTATTTTTAGTAAGACAGGGTTTCACTATATTGGCCAGGCTGGCCTTGAACTCCTGACCTCGTGATTTGCCTGCCTTGGCCTCCCAAAGTGCTGGGATTACAGGCGTGAGCCACTGTGCCCTGCCTATTTTTGTCCTTTAGTTGGCCCTAAGTCATCTCCTGACTGATCAGATTTTAAGATACATATTCTAAGAGCGGTTTCCTTTCTGTTTTCAGCCTGTTTTGTTGAGGGCAGTGGGTTACTTGTCAGATCTCTCCCAGGTTTCTTCATTCTCATTGATTTCCTCCATTAGTAGGATCTCAGTAATCAAACCAGAGTTTGGATAGTTTAGAGTTGATTTTGTTTTAATCACTACTGCTTAACATCCAGAGATCTGTTTGCAGTCCTTAGTTTCTTGGTTCCAAACTGGAATATTGGGACATCAGGCAAAACAGCTTTGCTACTTTCCTAATTTGTTGAATTGGGAATTGGACTCTCTCTCTCTCTCTTTTTTTTTTTTTTTGGAGACAAAGTCTTGCTCTGTCACCCAGGTTGGAGTGCAGTGGCGCGAACTCAGCTCACTGCAACCTCTGCCTCCCGGATTCAAGTGATTCTCCTGCCTCGGCCACCCAAGTAGGTGGGATTACAGGCACTCACCACCATGTCCAGCTAATTTTTGTAGAAACGGCGTTTCTCCATGTTGGCCAGGCTGGTCTCAAACTCCTGACTTCAGGTGATCCACCTCCCTCAGCCTCCCAAAGTTACAGGCATGAGCTGCTGCACCCGACCAGAATTGGAGCTTCTTTTATTTATTTATTTATTTATTTATTTATTTATTTTTTTTATCTTGAGATGGATTCTGGCTCAGTTGCCCAGGCTGGAGTGCGGTGGTGCAATCTCGGCTTACTGCAGCCTCCGCCTCCTGGGTTCAAGTGAGTCTCCTGCCTCAGCCTCCCGAGTAGCTGGGATTACAAGTGCGTACCACCATGCCCAGCTAATTTTTGTATTTTTAGTAGAGACTGGGTTTCGCTGTGTTGGCCAGGCTGGTCTTGCTCCTGACCTCAGGTGATCCACCCTTCTCGTACCACCACGCCCAGCTAATTTTTGTATTTTTAGTAGAGACTGGGTTTCGCTATGTTGGCCAGGCTGGTCTTGCTCCTGACCTCAGGTGATCCACCCTTCTCGGCCTCCCAAAATGCTAGGATTACAGGCATGAGCCACTGCGCCTGGCCATGGAACCTCTTAAAGGTAGGGTTTAGAGAAATATCCAGCTCTCTTTTTTGTTTTTTCCCTTGTTTAACTCGTTCCTAATCGCATTCTCCCTCAGTTTCCTGGGTTTGTCTGTTAACTTCCTATTTTTGTTGGTCACCTTAACCATGCCACATTTCAGCTCTCCTTTCCTTCTTTCCCCTTTCCCTTACCAGTGAGTCTTGCCCCCCCTTTTAAGTATCCTTTTCCCACAAAAGCAAGGTAATTTCGTATAATAGGAAATATGTAGGGGATGAAGGGAGGACAAAGTGTAAATAAAGTAAACCAAAATAAGGGAGAAGTTAGTAACCACAGATCATTTATTCTTTTTTTCTCTTCAATTTCTTTTTTTGTTTTGTTTTGTTTTTTGAGACGATTCTTGCTCTGTTGCCCAGGCTGGAGTGCAGTGGCATGATCTTGGCTCACTGCACCCTCCATCTCCTGGGTTCAAGTGATTCTCCTGTCTCAGCCTCCCGAGTAGCTGGGATTACAGGAGCGCACCACCATGCCTCGTTAAGTTTTGCGTTTTTAATAGAGATGGGGTTTTGCCACGTTGGCCATGCTGGTCTCGAACTCCTGACCTCAGGTGATCCACCCACCTCGGCCTCCCACAGTGCTGGAATTACAGGTGTGAGCCACTGAACCGAGCCCCTCTTCAATTTCTGAACGTCAGTTGTTTTCTCATCTGTAAAATGGTAATGATACCTATTTAATGGGGGATATTTGTTAGAATTAAGAATGATGTATAAAGTTCTCAGCCCGTAGATGTTCATTAAGTTACCAGTTACCTTTCTCCTTATTTTTCTTTATTTTTAGTTATAGCTCATCTTTAAGTATTAAAAAATCCTTTTTATATTTATTAGGAAATATAGTTTAATGACAAGTGTTAGCAAACTATGTGGTTTTGGATTTAATTTGGCAAAGTATTGCTGTAGAATGGTATCTAGCTAATATGCTAACAAATACTGTAGGGATAGGGTATAGTCTAGCCGATTGTAGTACAGGAATAAGAATCAATTTTCCAGTGCTATACCTTTATAGAGTTCTATTATTTAAAATGGATTTCTGGCCAGGCTCAGTGGCTCATGCCTGTAATCCCTGCACTTTGGGAGGCTGAGGAGCAGGGATCACCTGAGGTCAGGAGTTTGAGATCAGCCTGGCCAACATGGCAAAACCCAATCTCTACTAAGAATACAAAAAATTAGCTGGGTGTGGTGGTGGGTGCCTGTAATCCCAGCTACTCAGGATACTGAAGCAGAGAATCGCTTGAACCCGGGAGGTGGAGGTTGCAGTGAGCCAAGATCGCGCCACTGCACTCCAGCCTGGGTGACAGAGCGAGACTCCATCTCAAAAAAAAAAAAAAAATAAATAAATAAAATAGATTTCGTAAGTATGAAATTTGATGCAGTCATTTCTGGTACTCCATGTTAGCATGCATACTGAAACTGTTCTTGTGATGGGATAGTTCATGTGGGTGTCTCTGAGTTTCAGGTGATAATCAGGCTTCTTCAAGGGAAGACTGCCTTATTGGAAGATGACTCTTGAGACAGGGTCTCACTCTTGCCCAGGATAGAGTGCAGTGGTGCAATCATGGTTCAATCATGGTTCACTGCAAGCCTCAACTTCCTGGGCTCAAGGGATTCTCCCACCTCAGTCTCCCAAGTAGCTGGGACCACAGATGTACACCACTGCAACTGGCTAATTTTTTTTTTTTTTTTTTTAAAGAGACTGGGTCTTCCTATGTTGCCCAGGCTGACTCCACGGCTTAAGGAATCTTCCCCACTCTGCCTCCCAAAGTGCTGGGAATACAGGTGTGAACCACTGTGCGTGGCATGATGACTCTTAAATAATGTTAGTTGTCTTTACCCAGTGGCCCAGTCAGGTTGACACATAAAATTAACCTTCACAGTTTTACTTCAATAAATGTTTCCCTTCCATGTTTTTCTGCAGACAGATGCACCATCAGGAATGGAATTACAGTCATGGTATCCTGTTATAAAGCAGGAAGGTGACCATGTTTCTCAGACACATTCATTTTTACACCCCAGGTGAGTTGGTATTTATTTGTTCGTTTGTTCATTCATTTCTTCATTCAACAACTATATGCCATGCACTATTCTAGGACATGGGAATTTAATTATTTATTTATTTTTTTTGGTGGCAGAGTCTTGCTCTGTTACCCAGGCTGGAGTGCAGTGGCGCGATCTCGTCTCATTGCAACCTCCGCCTCACGGGTTCAAGCGATTCTCCTGCCTCAGCCTCCCGAGTAGCGGGGACTACAGGCTCACACCACCACGCCCTCCTAATTTTTTTAGTTTTAGTATAGATGGGGTTTCACAGTGTTGGCCAGGCTGGTCTCGAACTCCTGACCTCAAGTGATCTGCCTGCCTCAGCCTCCCAAAGTGCTGGGATTACAGGTGTGAGCCACTGTGCCTGACCACGAATTTATTTCTTTATTTTCAGGCTTTCTTGTTAATCATAGATTATCTTTGAAAATTCAAAATTAGGCTGGGCGCGGTGGCTCATGCCTGTAATCCCAGCACTTTGGGAGGCCGAGGTGGGTGGATCATGAGGTCAGGAGATCGAGACCATCCTGGCTAACACAGTGAAACCCTGTCTCTACTAAAAATGCAAAAAAATTAGCCGGGCCTGGTGGCGGGCACCTGTAGTCCCAGCTACTCGGGAGGCTGAGGCAGGAGAATTGCTTGAACCTGGGAGGCAGAGCTTGCAGTGAGCCGAGATCGCGTCATTGCACTCCAGCCTAGGCGACAGAGCAAAACTGTCTCAAAAAAAAAGAAAAAAAGAAAATTCAAAATTATTTTTAAATAAGTACATTGGTATTTAATGTATTTTTTGTTTCTATTTATCATTATAGGGAAATGGTAGGTGAATTGTATTGTTACTCTTATTAGAAAAAATTTCAAAGAAAGAATCTGAAATGAAATGAATTGTAAATTGCACTGAATATTTGAAATAACCTTTACTATGTGTTTCTATGTGTTTTCTAGAAATAGGTCATTTTCTTTTTGCCCTCAAGTAAAAAATGGAAGTTCTCCTTTAATTTCTTACTTTTCTTCAAGAGGTAAACAAACTCTTCAAGAATTTGGTGTGCAACTTTGATTTTTTTTTTTTTTTTTTTGAGACAAAGTCTCACTGTGTTACCCAGACTGGAGTGCAGTGGCAGGATCTTGGCTCACTGCAACCTCTGCCTCCCAGGTTCAAGCAGTTCTCTTGTCATGGCATCCTGTAGCTGAGCCTGAGCGCCAGCTGTCACTCCTGGCTAATTTTTTTGTATTTTTAGTAGAGATGGGGTTTCACCATGTTGGCCAGGCTGGTTTTGAACCTCAGGTGATCTGCCAGCCTTGGCCTCCCAAAGTGCTGCTAGGATTACAGGTGTGAGCCACCGCCCCGAGCCGCAACTTCAATTTTTTTTTTTTTTTTTTGAGATGGAGTCTCGCTCTGTTGCCCAGGCTGGAGTGCAATGGTATGATCTCGGCTCACTGCAACCTCCGCCTCCCGGGTTCAAGCATTTCTCCTGCCTCAGCCTCCTGAGTAGCTGGGATTACAGGCATCCGCTGCTACGCCCAGCTAATTTTTGTATTTTTAGAAGAGACGAGGTTTCACCATGTTGGCCAGGCTGGTCTCGAACTCCTGACCTCAAGTGACCCACCTGCCATCAGCCTCCCAAAGTGCTGGGATTACAGGTATGAGTCACTGCACCCGGCCTGCAACTTTGATATTTTAAAAAGAAATTCTTTTGAAACTAAGAGCTTTCTTAATAACCGTACTTCTCAAAATCAGAGTTTTACTGTTTCAATAAATGTTCACCCTAGATTGTAAGTTTTTTGTTGTTGAGCCCTAGATTTTTTTCTACTAGTGTAAATCTGTATTCCCTCCAAGTATGGTGATAAGGGGACTGAGTCTTATTTACATTTGTACAATCACTACTTTACCTGTTGTATTTGCAGTAAGTCTTTTGAGCCCTATTAAACCTGTCAATTTTCTTGTCCTGTCAGAAAACTGAGATTTTGGCTCAAAAATGGATGTTATTAACAAAGGGGAACAATATAGATGTCTTAGTACAAAGAAAATGAAATGTAAGAGGAGATTGTCTGGAGTTCAGGGGATAGAGTGTCAAGTCTTAAATGGTTACATCTTTTTGCTAAGTGTTACTCAGAATATAGTTACAAATATGGTACTTAAATATCTAGCTGAAATTTGTTTGTCCCATGAGCTTCTCACATGAGTCTACTGGGCAATTTTATGTGAGTTTTGGTCAAAATTGGTAATCTCTTTTATCTTAGTTTTGCATAATTTATTGTTGCCATTTTATCAAATGAGTAGGAAGTAGTGAAGTATTTCAAGAAGATTGCTCAGTGGGGTTTGATACAAGAACTGCCCAGTAGCTGGGCGACATTCAGAGCTCTCTCTCTGAGGTATATAAGAAGAGCCCTGGGAGCTCCTCACTGAGCCTCCTGTGAGTCAGGACATAGCCTTGCAGTCTGCCACTGAAGCAGCCTCACCAAAGCAAAGATTCCCTGCTTTGGAAGGGTGGTGGGCAAGATAAAGTCCTCCAAAGTAGTTATAGATTATTCTTTTTCTGGAGTAAAACTTACCTGCTCAGAGTTGTTACACAGCTGTATAAAGTCCTTAATGCTTTTAATTCTCAGGTGGTTTTGAGGGAAGGAGAAGAGCCTGTGATTTTCCTTCTGTGTATCTTTTTAGTGCTTAGAAATTACTTGCCAAAAAAAAAAAAAAACACGAAATTACTTGCAAGCTGGTTATGGTTGCTTATGCCTGTAATCCTAGTGCTTTGGGAGTTGGAGGTGGGAGGGTATCACTTGAGCCCAGGAGTTCAAGACCAACTTGGCAGCATAGCAAGACCCTATCTCTAAAAAAAAATGGGTATGTGTGGTCCCAGCTACCTGGGATGCTGAGGCAGGAAGATTGCTTGAACCCAGGAGTTAGAGGTTACAGTGAGCCATGATCATACCACTACGCTCCAGCCTGGGTTACTTGCAAACTAACAAAAAATCCCTTATAATTTTGTTTGTAATGCCTAAAGTGTTGATTTTTTTCCTAAGAATTCTTTACTGTGACCTTTATTTTCTGAGTTGTAATATTGTCTGTTTTGGTTAGAAAAAAAAAAGTTTAACCACAGAAATGCATGTTACATATTTGATTTTTACTTAATTGTAATATGTAATATATGTCTTGTTTTGCTTTTACTTGTTTTCAGCTACTACTTATACATGTGTGATAAAGTGGTTGCCCCAAATGTGTCACTTACTTCTGCTGTATCCCAGTCTAAAGAGCTCACAAAGACAGAGGCAAGTAAGTCCATATCAAGACAGTCAGAGAAGGCTCACAGTAGTGGTAAACTTCAAAAAACAGTGTCTTATCCAGATGTCTCACTTGAGGAACAGGAGAAAATGGATTTAAAAACAAGTAGAGAATTATGTAGCCGTTTAGGTAAGTATTCAGAGATTATCTTTCTAAAATTAAATATCTAATGAACACATTTATTGAGCATTTTCAAACAGGCTTTTTGTTTGAGCTAAATTTTCAGATAATTGGAGCTTTTACCTTTAAAAATGCTACCCTTCAAAACTCTGGGTGATTTATTTTAATCTCAGTTGCTATACTTTTCTAGCGTGGTGATAGCTCAGGAGACTGAGATAGATACAGGCTACCTGGCCTCAGACTGCAAGTTATTTTTGTCCGAATTTTTTTCCTTTCCTACCTTTTATTTGCTGTCAGTCTTCAGGAGATCCTTGTTTTTCTTTCCTCCTTTTTTTTTCTTTTTTTGTGACAGAGTCTTTATCGCCTAGGCTGAAGTGCAGTGGTGAGATTGCGGTCACTGCAGCCTCAACCTTTGGGCTCAAGTGATCCTCCCACCTCACCCTCCCTAGTAGCTGGGACCAGAGGCGCACACCACTGTGCCTGGCTAATTAAAAAAAAAAATTTTTTTTTTTTTTTTTGTAGAGATGGTCTTGGTATGTTGCTCAAGCTGGTCTCGAACTCCTGGGCTCAAGTGATCCTCCTGCCTTGGCCTCTCAAAGTGTTGGGATTACAGTTGTGAGCCACCGCACCCAACCTTTATTTTTCTTTCTGATTTGCCATGAACTGAGACACCATTTAATAATAAGAAGTATTATGTAAGTAAGAGTAGTTAGGTATAGAACTCAAGGAAGCTTAGTTATGGAATAAAGCAAGGATTGAAAGCTCTGGGGGCCAGGCATATAGCATAAATGTGGAATATTGACTGGTCATTTAAAAGAAAAATAGCTGGTTACTTACCGTGCCTTTTAAAATACTGTGGATTAAATGAGACATGTCTGCAGATATTGCCTGTGTTACCATCCATATAGCAGCACAGCTTTGCTTAGTGATTAGGCAGTGTGACAGTTACTTTAGCTGCATTGGAACAGTTGGAGGGTCCTCTATTTATTTAAGTTTTTATAGAGAATTGAGATTCTTGGGGGTTTTCTTTTCTTTCTTTCTTTCTTTTTTTTCTTTTTTTTTTTTGAGGAGTTTCACTCTTGTTGCCCAGGCTGGAGTAAAATGGTGAGATCTCAGCTCACCGCAACCTCCACCTCCCAGATTCTCCTGCCTCAGCCTCCTGAGTAGCTGAGATTACAGGCATGCACCACCACACCCCGCTAATTTTGTATTTTTAGTAGAGACGGGTTTTCTCCATGTTGGTCAGGCTGGTCTTGAACTCCTGACCTCAGGTGATCCGCCTGCCTCGGCCTCCCAACCAAAGTGCTGGGATTCCAGGCGTGAGCCACCACGCCTGGCTGATTCTTGGGTGGGGGTTTTCTGGTTTTTTTGTTTGTTTGTTTGTTTGTTTGGAGACAGAGTTTCGTATTTGTTGCCCAGGCTAGAGTGCAACGGTGTGATCTCGGCTCACTGCAATCTCCGCCTCCCAGGTTCAAGTGATTCTCCTGCCTCAGCCTCCTGAGCAGCTGGGATTATAGGCATGCACCACCACGCCCGGCTAATTTTGTATTTTTAGTAGACACGGGGTTTTTCCATGTTGGTCAGTCTGGTCTCGAACTCCTGACCTCAGGTGATCCGCCTGCCTCGGCCTCCCAAAGTGCTGGGATTACAGGCGTGAGCCATCGCGCCCGGCCAGGGGTTTTCTATACATTTATTTTGAGGGTTTTTTGTTTCGTTTTTCTTTTTTAGAGACAGAGTCTCACTCTGTTGCTCTAGGCTGGTGGAGTACAGTGATGCATTCATAGCTCACCGCAGCTTCAAATTGCTGGGCTCATAGTCCTTGCACCTCAGCCTCCCTAGTAGCTAGGACTACAGGCATGTGCCACTGCGCCTGCCTCATTTTTTCATTTTTTTTGTAGAGACAGGGTCTCACTGTATTGCCCAGGCTGGCATTAAGCTCTTAGCCTCAAGTGATCCTCCTGCCTTGGCCTCCTAAAGCATTGGGATTACAGATGTGAGCCACCATGCCTGGCCAATTTTGAGATTTTTAAAACTCAGTTTTCTTCAGATTTAAATATGGTAAACAAAAATTAGTAATGACTATTATGCCATATTTACATTGTATTTTATTTCTTAAATTAATTCTAATGACTTCTAAAAAATTATTGAGATAATTTATATACCATAAAATTTACCCTTTTAAAGCCTACAATTCAGTGGTTTTTAATACATTCACAAAGTTGTGCAACCATCACAGCTAATTTAGTTCCATAATGTTTTCTTTTCTTTCTTTTTTTTTAAGATGGAGTTTCACTCTTGTCGCCCAGGCTAGAGTGCAGTGGGGTGATTTCGGCTCACTGCAAGCTCTGCCTCCCGGGTTCAAGCGATTCTCCTGCCTCAGCCTCCTGAGTAGCTGGGATTACAGGCGTGTGTCACCACGCCTGGCTAATTTTTTTGTATTATTAGTAAGAGACAGGGTTTTCGCCATGTTAGTCAGGCTGATCTTGAACTCCTGACCTTAGGTGATCCACCCGCCTCGGCCCATAATGTTTTCATCACTCCAAAAATTAACCCTATAATCCATTAGGAGTCACTCCCTGATTCTCCCTTTCTCGAAGCCTCTGGCAACCACTAATCTATTTTCTATCTTTATGGATTTGCTTATTCTGGACATTTCATATAAAAGGAATTGTACAATATGTGGCTTTTCATGTCTGGTCAAGAAGCTTATGCTTCTTTCATGAAAGATAATGTTTTCACAGTCCATGTTGTTGCATGTACCAGTACTTCTTTTTATGGCCTGATAAGATTCCATTATGTGAATATACCACATTTTTTTTATTCCTTCGTCAGTCGGACATTTGCATTGGGTCTACTTTTTGGCAATTAAGAATAATGCTGCTATAGGCCGGGCGCGGTGGCTCACGCCTGTAATCCCAGCACTTTGGGAGGCCGAGGCGGGCGGATCACGAGGTCAGGAGATCGAGACCATCCCGGCTAAAACGGTGAAACCCCGTCTCTACTAAAAAAAAAAAAAAATACAAAAAAATTAGCCGGGCGTAGTGGCGGGCGCCTGTAGTCCCAGCTACTTGGGAGGCTGAGGCAGGAGAATGGCGTGAACCCGGGAGGCGGAGCTTGCAGTGAGCCGAGATCCCGCCACTGCACTCCAGCCTGGGCGACAGAGCGAGACTCCGTCTCAAAAAAAAAAAAAAAAAAAAAAAAGAATAATGCTGCTATAAATACTTGTGTAGAAGTTTAAGTGTAGAACTATATTTTCAGTTTTTTTTTGGTATGTATTTAGGAGTGAAATTGCTAGGTCATGTGGTAATTATGTTTAATGTTTTGAGGAACTGCCAAACTTTTCAAAAGCAGTTGCACCATTTTACATTCCTGTGGTAGCTTGGGAGTTTCAAATTTTGCATATCTTTGTCAACACTTGTTATTGTTTGTCTTTTGAATATAGCCATCCTAGTGGTTGTGAAGTGGTATTTCATGGTTTTAATTTGCAATTTCTCAGTGAATGATGATATTGAGTATCTTTTCATGTTTTTCTTGGACATTGCATATCTTTGGAGAAATGTCTATTCAGGTCTTTTGGCTATTTTAATGCTAGGTTGTTTTACTATTGAGTTGTAAGAGTTCTTTATATATTCTGGATACTGGATCCTTATCAGATATTTGATTTACCATACTGTTTTCTTTTTACTTTCTTGTTAGTGTTCTTTTTTTTTTCCTGAGACAAAGTCTGGCTGTATCACCCCAGCTTGGCTCACTGCAACCTCTACCTCCTGGGCTTAATCCATCCTTTCACCTCAGCCTCCCAAGTAGCTGGGACTACAGGGATGTACCACCATGCTCGGCTAATTTTTGTATTTTTGGTGGAGTTGGGGTTTTGCCATGTTGAGGCTGGTCTCAAACTCGTGAGCTTAAGCAATCCACCTGCCTCAGCCTCCCAAAGTGTTGGGATTACTGGTGTGAGCCACCGCGCTTGGCCGTGTTAGTGTTCTTTGAAGCACAAAAGTTTTAAATGTTTATTACATCCAATTTATCTATTTTTTTCTTGTTTTAGGTATCATATCTAAGAAACTATTGCCTAATCCCAATTCCAAGAAATATTTATTTATGTATTTATTTATTTATTTATTTATTTTTGAGACAGAGTCTCACTCTGTTGCCCAGGCTGGAGTACAGTGGTGCCATCTCAGCTCACTGCAACCTCCACCTCCCGGGTTCAACCAATTTTTCTGTCTCAGCCTCCTGAGTAGCTGGGATTACAGGTGCGCGCCACCATGCCTGGCTAATTTTTTTTGTATTTTTAGTAGAGACAGAGTTTTACCATGTTGGTCAGGCTGGTGGTGAACTCCTGACCTCAGGTAATCCACCTGCCTCGGCCTCCCAAAGTGCTGGGATTATAGGCGTGAGCCACCACATCCAGCCAAGAAATTTATGTTTAAGGGTTGTAGCTCTTACATTTAGGTCTTTGATCAGTTTAGAGTTAATTTTTGTATACAGCATAAGGTCCAACCTTATTCTTTTGCATGTGGATATAGTTGTCCGTATGTTGAAAAGATTATTCTTTCCTTTTTTTTTTTTTTTGAGACGGAGTCTTGCTCTGTTGCCCAGGCTGGAGTGCAGTGGCGCTATCTCGGCTCACTGCAAGCTCCGCCTCCCAGGTTCACGCCATTCTTCTGCCTCAGCCTCCCGAGTAGCTGGGACTACAGGCGCCCGCCACCAAGCCTGGCAAATTTTTTGTATTTTTTAGTAGAGACAGGGTTTCACCATGTTAGCCAGGATGGTCTCAATCTCCTGACGTCGTGATCCGCCCTTCTCGGCCTCCCAAAGTGCTGGGATTACAGGCGTGAGCCACCGCGCCTGGCCAGAAAAGATTATTCTTTCCTGACTGAATTGCTTTGGCACCTTTGTCAACAACAATTGCCTTATAAAGTATGAGTTTTTTAAATTTCTGGACTCTGAATTCTGTTCTACTGATCTGTATGTCTATCTTTAAATCATGTCACACAGTCTTGATTTCTGTAGCTTTGTAGTAAGCTTTGAAATTGGGAATTGTGAGTCTTTCAACTTCGTTATTCTTTTTCAAGATTATTTTGCCTATTTTGGGTTTGTTGCATTTCCATATGGATTTTAGAAACTGCTTTTCAATTTCTGCAAAAAATCCAGTGGGGATTTTGATAGGGATTGCACTGATAAGTAGATCAATTTGGAGACTATTACTGTCTTAACAATATTAAGTCTTCCAATCCATGAATTTGGGATGTCTTTCCATGTATTTAGGTCTTAAATTTCTTTTAGTGATGTTTTGTAGTTTTCATTGTACTTGCACTGCTTTTGTTAAATTTATTCCTATTTTATTTGTTTTGGTCTAATTTATAAATGAAATGTTTTAAAAATTACATTTATGGATTGTTCTAGTGATTTTTTTAATGGAGTGATATTCATACTTTGTTACTTGATTTTTTTCTCTCCAAGATGCATCAATCTCAAATAATTCTACAAGTAAAAGGAAATCTGAGTCTGCCACTTGCAACTTAGTCAGAGACATAAACAAAGTGGGAATTGGCCTTGTTGCTGCCGCTTCATCTCCGCTTCTTGTGAAAGATGTCATTTGTGAGGATGATAAGGGAAAAATCATGGAAGAAGTAATGAGAACTTATTTAAAACAACAGGAAAAACTAAACTTGATTTTGCAAAAGAAGCAACAACTTCAGATGGTAAAATTGTTATCTAAATGATAGTCCATTATGAAAAGATACTTTTGTATATTGCTCTGTCGCCCAGGCTGGAGTGCAGTGGCGCAGTCTCAGCTCACTGAAACCTCCACCTCACAGGTTCAAGCAATTCTTCTGCCTTAGCCTTCCGAGTAGCTAGCATTACAGGCACGTGCCACCATGCCTGGCTAAATTTTGTATTCTTAGTAGAGATGGGGTTTCTCCATGCTGGCCAGGCTCGAACTTTTGACCTTGTGATCCACCAGCCTTGGCCTCCCAAAGTGCTGGGATTACAGGTGTGAGCCACTGCGCCCAGCCCCCCTGTATATTCTTAGTAAGAAAAGTCAAAACGAGATGCTACAAATGTACTTAAGATTATTGTTTTACACTGAAAAGCAATTTTAATATATTTTAAAATTTTTTGAGAAAATAGTTTTTTAAAATAATTACCTCTATATAGAACTGATAATGATAGCTGAATTTTAGGTATTTTCTGTGCTATGTTTTCCAGAACTGAAAATTTTAACATGGTGAAAATAAAGTAAAACTTGTATTGTGATTCTTTACATTACAGGAAGTAAAAATGTTGAGTAGTTCAAAATCTATGAAGGAACTCACTGAAGAACAGCAGAATTTACAGAAAGAGCTTGAATCTTTGCAGAATGAACATGCTCAAAGAATGGAAGAATTTTATGTTGAACAGAAAGACTTAGAGAAAAAATTGGAGCAGATAATGAAGCAAAAATGTACCTGTGACTCAAATTTAGAAAAAGACAAAGAGGCTGAATATGCAGGACAGGTAAGAATTACTGTTTGTATAATGGTGCCCTTTCAGCATGGAAATGGAAACTGTTACTTCTCTCTTTTTTTTTTTTGAGACAGAGACTGCTCTGTCGCCCAGGCTGGAGTGCAGTGGCACAATCTCAGCTCCCCACAACCTCTGCCTCCCGGGTTCAAGCAATTTTCCTGCCTCAGCCTCCTGATTGTAGCTGGGATTACAGGCGTGCGACACTATGCCCAGCTAAATTTTGTATTTTTTAGTAGAGACGGGGTTTCACCATGTTGGTCAGTCTGGTCTTGAACTCCTGACCTCATGATCTGCCCACCTCAGCCTCCCAAAATGCTGGGATTACAAGCATGAGCCACTGCACCCGGCCACCGTTACTTCTCTAATAAAGGAATTACTTTTTGTCAAGCTCAGTTTACTAAGCTAGATTTCAAAATAGATAATTCTGTTAAACATAGCTTTATGCTGTATTGTCCAAGATGATTATTTTGATGTTTGTTGCTTTTATTAGTTTAAATTTTTATCGGGTTACTGCAGTTTAGTTACCTAAATTGCTAATCTCTAGCCCTCTGAATATTATATGTTATATTATTTTAATGTAGTATATGAGCTTTCAAATCTACAAATTAACAAACAGGAACTGTTGCCTGTTATGTTCAAAAGCACTGGAGCAAAAATAAGCAATTCTCTTTTGTTAATAGAATCTCACAATTTAAGGAACATGAACAAATAACTAACATGAGCAGGCTGTGATGAGCGGTATAGTAAAGTATAGGGCATAATGAACATGAACATGCTGGATGTGTTCCTTCCTCTTGTTCCTTTGCTTTTTCTTAAATTTAGTGTCCTGTCAGATGTCAGATTAATAGTATTAGATGCTTAATGGATTTAGTATACATGAAATAGTTCGTTTTGTAAAAAGTAATTTGAAAATAGATATTTTCTATGATATGAGGATTAAATGGAAAAACAAAACAATTAAAATTGATAGCGCCTTTTAAATCACATAGTTGGCAGAACTGAGGCAGAGATTGGACCATGCTGAGGCCGATAGGCAAGAACTCCAAGATGAACTCAGACAGGAACGGGAAGCAAGACAGAAGTTAGAGATGATGATAAAAGAGCTAAAGCTGCAAATTCTGAAATCATCAAAGACTGCTAAAGAATAGAAACTGTTAAAGAGATTCATCTGTGTATTACTGACAAGGTTTTTTTTGTTTGTTGCTTGCTTTGGTAATTGAATTCTGAAGAATTTATCTGCATGACGATAACTAGGCATTCTATCCATTTGTAGATCAGAGAAAGTGAAGAGATTATATATTAGTACTTAAATTTTTACATTTTCCAAATGAATGAAAATGTATGTTTCTTTGTACTTTTTTAAAAAAATCAGCTTAGTAACAATACTATATGGTTTCAACTAGTAGGTAATCTGCTTATATTTCTAATGCAAACTTAACAATTGTGTACTTTTTAAAAGCTGCAATATGTGTTGGAAAATAGCTGTGGTCAATTTTGTTATCCATATTTCAGACTCAATTTTAGATACAATGGTGGCTTTATATTTTAAGTATATAGAGCTACTCAAGGAGTTGAATCTCCCCTTTTCTCATTAACACAATTTTTCTAAGTTGATATGGTGTACTCATTAACATACACCAAATTTACTTTTACTTTGTTCAGATTGTGGAATGAATTTCCACCAGTTCTCTTCTTTTTAATGTGTACCCTAGGAGGAATTTTACTGAGGTTATAGCATACCCCATGAGCACAGTGGGGAAGAAGAATGTGTTGTTATGTGCTGCTGCTAAACAGAAGCAGCAGTTGTAATTTGTTTTTCAGTTTAAATGTGGTTATAGTTAGATTTTTTTTTAAGCAGCAACTTTTCAAAAATAAAATGTGATAATTTCTGAACTTTTGTTTGTGTTGTTAATAGTGGTGTGAAAATATTAACGTTCTTGAGAAAAACTGATACCACTGTTGTGTATCAGTTTCTATACAATCCATAATCCTCCTGTACAGTTTTTACATGTAGTTATGAGTCTTACTAAAATTTATATAATGGACTTGTTTTCCTTTAAGTTGTAAAATGTTAAACACCTTGAAGGTTATTTTGGACTTCTGTATGTTTAAATGTTGTCTTACCAAAATTTGCACGAATGGACCATTTTCATTTACTACTTAATATCAAAATCAGGAATTTACAGTCAACTGATAGTACATGATAGGTGCATATAGGACAGTTTAGTTACCTGCTACTAAAAGATTTTTAGATAAGTTTTAGAAGATAAAGGAATTCCATAGTTTCAGGAGGGACAACATCTTCTGCACTTTTTTTTTGCACAGAAAAGTCTGTCATTCTCTAATGGCAAATTTCATATTTGTTAATTCTTGGCTCAAAATATATTAGGTAAAATTCTTAGATCTGTTTTTAAAGGGAGTTTCCTGAAACTATCATTAATTGACATTATTACCCCATGGATTTTATGGGATAATAAATGTTTTTCATGTTCTCTTATAAGATACTATGTATGAAATTACTTCAGAGAGCTATATTTATTTTAAAATAAATTAGCTAGGGTTAAGGTTATATTCTATTTCCAGCATAGAAGGTAGATAATCTAATGGTGTAGAAAGAATCACTAGGTTGTCATTTAACCAGTTATTTTCATATTTTGCTTAATAGTACATATCCAAAAAGAATTTTGTACTTCCCCAAATGTAATTTATTTACTAAATTGAGTATAACCTAAATGTGTGTTTTCTATTTTCCATTTAAATTTTGCTATATTAAGACTAATTTAATTCGTTGAGTCTTGGAATCTTCTCAAGGAGGAACAAATATTAAAATGACATGTAGAAACAAATTTTTTTTTTTTTTTTTTTTTTTTTTTTTTTGAGACAGAGTCTCGCTGTCTCCCAGGCTGGAGTTCAGTGGTGCAATCTCGGCTCACTGCAAGCTCTGCCTCCTGGGTTCAAGCCATTCTCCTGCCTCAGCCTCCCGAGTAGCTGGGACTACAGGCACCCACCACCACTCCCGGCTAATTTTTAGAAACAAATATTTAAAATGACATATTCTCCCAATACAATCTATTTAGATCTGGAGAAGGAAAAATCAGATATTTATGATATAGTTTTATTTTAATTTTGAATTATTTGTGTCACAGCTCAGCTTTTTGGAAGACAAACTCAAACACCTATAATTTCATTTATATTTCTAATTCACTTGGAACCTTTCTGCTTTATGTTACCTAGAAAATGATAATTTGTTTAACCCAAAACTTCTAAAATAAATTGCTTAATCCTTGAAATATGTTATTGGAAAATTTTAAGCAGTGCTTAAACACCATTAAATTATTATGAACTTGTAATTCAGAATTGAGTAAAGAAATATTTTTTCTAGTCCTTCATATATTGAAAACTTGCCACATGACATTGTATCGTCTTCATTTTCCAGAAGATGCGTTGGTGTGCCATAGGTTTCTAACTTCCTTGAAAATAGTTTTTTAAGTCAATTGTAAATATACGTATTATTGTTAAAAGTAACTTTAAACTGCAACACATAGCTTCAAAACAATATAGAGATTTTGTAATACCTTATAAGTGGAGTTGGCTAAAATACCTTATCCATATAAAACTTATTCTATTCTTTGCATGCTTATTTTGTGTGTTGGTTGCTAGCTTAAAGTTTGATTTGTTGTTACTCTTTGTGTGCCAAATTCACTAGGCAAGCGGATTTTTCCTCAGACTTCAAAAAATAATTCTTTTAAGAAAAAATGTAAAAATGTTTATTCTAAAAAGCTGCATTAAAGGGACAACCTATAAAAAGTTTTGCTAGCTCATCTTTAGAAGGAAGAAAGAATATTAGCTTGGGTGATGTTTAATTTGGGTGGCGATAGTTTCTGTAGGCTAAACTTTATGAGAAAAGTGTACCTACTCTATAAAGGTAATAAATGTAAAACCTCTTGCTGTTATTGAGGAAGCTCTTCAACTACCCTAAATTTCACAAATGTAACTTATAACACTATGAAAAGATTTGACCAACAATTTACGTTTGCTGTGTGCTTTAGTTTTTGTTTAAGCATATTCTTTTGCTTGAATTTCTGTGTTCATGAGAGTTAGGGTGTTTTATGCTTCTTGAACTAATTTTATAACATATTTAATATATTACCAGTTAAGATATAAAATCATTTGTACATAGCGAATTGTAAAGCAGCTATTAAAGTAGGTGAAATAAAGTATATATTTGCCGGTTATCCATATCTTTTAGAAGTCCTGACAGAACAACCAGTTTATTTGCACATAGGTAGCTTCTGTTTGAAGGAAGGTAAAGTTATAAGGAAACTCAAATACTATAAGATGTGTCAAGGTATTTCTCCAGAATTAATTGCAAAGCTAGTGCTGAAGGATTTTAATCAGCTTCTAAAATTTTCTTCTCAATAAGGCATATGTTTTGATTACTTAGGGAAGATTCCTCATTTTTATTTGCCCTTTATGCATTTAATCCACATGATAGGACATTAAAAATTAATATAAAGAAAAATCGTGCTCATACTGTACATCTGTTTCTGTGCTTGGAACTACTTGTTAATAGTTTTTATCGAAGCTGTCAGCAATAAGGGACATAAAACTGCTGTATTATACATTGTGGAATTGAATAAACAGCCTAATTTTTTTTTTCTAGTATAGGGTACTTAAGCATTTCCACTTTTGGAAGAAAAGTGTATTAGTATTTTATATTGCATTTCATTTAAAAGGACAGTTTTTTTTTTTTTTTTGTAAATCCATTCATTGAAATGGTTTCTAAACTGTATAATGTAATTTGGAGCCTATTTAGTAATAGAATTAAATGTCCTATGTAGTGCTACAATTTTTGAATTAGAAAGTGATCAAATGTAAGAAAAAAATTTAAAAATTCAGCCCAGAAAACAAAATAGTGTATTAAATTAGTTTAATGTAAAAGGAATTTATAAGATTTTTTTCCTCAATATAGATACCTCACTTGAAAAGAAAGCACAGCATACTTAAAGTAGTTCTAGTAAACATGTCCTAGAAAACAGTTGCTAAATGTAGGACATCTTTTGAGGAATTAGTTTATGAGAAATAAAATTTTACTTGTTTTTACTATCCTGTTAGAAGTATTTGTTTATCCTGATAATTTTAAGCCAACATAGTAGTCTTAAATTACTTTTGAATTTCTAATCTGTGAAGGCAGTAAATGAAATATCTGTTCTGCAACTGTTGAAACAAATAATTGGCTACATTGACCATAATTAAAGTTAAAATTTTGCCAATGATGTACAGTTTTATGGTTAAAGTTGCTGTGGTTGGTTGCATTACATGACACAGAAAACTGTCCTCTACCTCACGTGAAATAAATATTTTATATGGTTTTACTAAAAATAAGACTCATGTATCTGGTCACCTAGTTTACAAATTTTGAATTATATTTATTGAAACATGACATACTGTGCTCTGAGCTTATACCTCAATTGTATTTTGTGCTGTTTTCCATTTTCATGCCTTGTAAATAACTTGTATAGATTGTGGATCAAATACTAAATAAAAACTTTTAATGCCAATTAAATTTGATTCAAGTTATTTCAGTATCGTGTGTGAGCTTAACTTTCTCATTCCCTAAGATTGACATTTTCTTCTTTGTTCCTTTAAAGTCTATTATTCGTAGGCTGGGCGCAGTGGCTCATGCCTGTAATCCCAGCACTTTGGGAGGCCAAGGCAGGCAGATCACCTGAGGTGAAGGAGTTTGAGATCAGCCTGGCCAGCATGGTGAAACGCTGTCTCTACTAAAAATACAAAATTAGCCGGGTGTGGTGACTCATGCTTGTAATCCCAGCTACTTGGGAGGCTGAGGCAGGAGAATCGCTTGAATCCAGGAAGCAGAGGTTGCAGTGAGCCGGGATCGTGCCATTGCACTTCAGCCTGGGTGACGAGCGAAAACTGTCTCAAAAAAAAAAAAAAAAAAAAAAGTACATTATTCGTTACACACTAACTTGAAAAATGTGTTTTATTGTAGAACAGGAAATTTTATGCAATATTTCAGGTGATGAAAATACCAGCATTATGTGATTATTTAATGATTTTTAGACTTCAGCTTTAACATCCTTACCAAATCCCTGGTATAAGTTATCTACTGCATAACAAATTACCCCACAATTTATCAATGTCAGAAATCCAGGAGATGGCCAAGCACACTGGCTCTTACCTGTAATCCCAGTGCTTTGGGAGTCTGGGGTGGGAGGATCGCTTGAACCCAGGAGTAGCAGTTTCAGGCTGTGGTGAGCTGTTACATAATCACACCACTGTACTCCAGCCTGGGTAAGAGTGAGCGGAGTGAGACCTTGTCTCTAAAAATAAAAAACCCCAAGCTACTTATACATTATATCATGGTGTTATCAATAAGGGCAATTAAAAAAAAAATCCAGGAACATTTAGCTTGCTGTTGCGGCTCAGGAGCTCTTGTAAGGTTGCACTTAGGATGTTACCCAGGGTTGAAGTCTGAAAGCTGCATTGAACTGAAGGATTTGCCTCCGAGCTCACTTACATGGTTGCCGACAAGGTGCTCAATTGCTCACTATGTGGACCTGTCCATGGAGCTGTTCATGACATGACTAGTTTACCCCAAATGAGTGATCCAGAAGAAAACGTCATGCCACAATTTTTTTATGACCCAGACTGTACGTCACACACTCACTTTTGTTTTATTACAGGACAAGTTTACATAGGGTTTGAATACCGGGAGGCAGGGATCATTAGGGACTATCTTAGAGTCTATTTATAGTACCCTCTAAGTTGTAATTAAATTTTTTTTTGTGATGAGATGTACACAACAATTTAGTATTTTAGCCGTTTTTAAGTGTACGATTCAATGACATAGTCACAATGTTAGGCAACTATCACCATTGTTTTCAGCATTTTTTCATTATCCCAAACAGAAGCTCTGTACCTATTAAACAGTAACTCCCTAATGCATATCTTCTCCCCCAGCCCCTGATAACTTTTTTTCTATTTTCCGTCTCTGAATTTGCCTATTCTAGATATGTAAGTGGAATAAAAATACTTGTCCTTTATGTCTAACTTGTTTCATTGATCATGATGTTTTCAACATACATCCGTGTTGTTTCATGTCTCAGAATTTCACTTGTTTGTATGGCTGAATAGTACTCCATTGCATGTTTATACTACATTCTGTTTATCCATCTGTTGATTGACAATTTCATTGTTTGCACCTTTTAGCTATTGCAAATAATGCTGCTATGAACATTGGTTTACAGTTGTCTACTTAAGTCCCTGCTTTCTCTTCTTTTGGATGTATACCTAGGAGTAGAATTGTTGGATCATATGGTGATTCTATATTTAACTTTTTGAAGAATCACATACGTTTTCCACAGGACTGCTTCATTTTTCATCCGCACCAGGAATGCATGATGGTTACAGTTTCTCTACACCCTTGCCAACACATGTTATTTTCCATTTTACCAGTATTAGCCATCCTATTGGGTGTGAAGTGTTACTTCATTTGCATTTCTCTAGTGACTGATGATGTTGAGCACCGTGTGCGTTGTGTATTTTTGGAGAACTATTCAAGTCCTTTGCCCATTTAAAAAATTGTTGTTATTGTTGAGTTGTAGGGATTCTTTATATATTCTGGATATTAATCCCTTATTTTTTATTTTTATATATTTTTTGAGATGGAGTCCCGCACTGTCACCCAGGCTGGAGTGCAATGGCGCAATCTCGGCTCACTGCAACCTCCATCTCCTGGGTTCACACGATTTCTCCTGCCTCAGCCTCCCAAGTAGCTGGGATTACAGGCGCACACCACCACACCCAGCTATTTTTTTGTATTTTTAGTAGAGACAGGGTTTCATTATGTTGGCCAGACTGGTCTTGAACTCCTCACTTCAGGTGATCTGCCCACCTCGGCCTCCCAAAGTGCTGGAATTAGGCTAGGCACAGTGGCTCATGCCTGTAATCTCAGCACTTTGGGAGGCCGAGGTGGGTGGATCACTTGAGGCCAGGAGTTCGAGACCAGCCTGGCTAACATGGTGAAACCCCATTTCTACTAAAAATACAAAAACAATTAGCTAGGTGTGGTGGTGCATGCCTGTACTCACCATCCAGCTACTCAGGAGGTTGAGGCAGGAGAATCACTTGAACCCGGGAGGCAGATGTACGCCACTGCACTCCAGCCTGGGTGACAGAGTGAGACCCTGTCTCAAAAAAAAAAAAAAAGTGCTGGGATTACAGGTATGAGCCACCGTGCCCGGCCATTAGATCATTATTAAAAATCCATTCTGCCGATGGCTTATTTTTACTTTTTTTTTTTTTTTTTGAGACGGAGGCTCGCACTGTCACCCAGGCTGGAGTGTAGTGGCATGATCTCGGCTCACTGCAACCTCTGCCTCCCAGGTTCGAGCGATTCTCCTGCTTCAGCCTCCCAAGTAGCTGGGATTACAGGCGCGTGCCCGGCTAATTTTTTGTAGTTTTAGTAGAGACGGGGTTTCACCGTGTTAGCCAGGATGGTCTCGATCTCCTGACCACGTGATCTGCCCACCTCGGCCTCCCGAAGTGCTGGGATTACAGGCGTTAGCCACCGCGCCCAGCCCTTATTTTTACTTTTAATTGGTAAATTAAAATCGTATACATTTATGGTGTACAACATCATGTTTTGATATGTGTATACACATGGAATGGCTAAATCAAGCTATTTAACATATGCATTACCTCCCATTCTTATTATTTTGTGGTAAGGACACAAAATCTACTCTCTTAGTAATTTTCAAGTATATAATATATTGTTATTAACTGTAGTCACCACGATGTAACATAGGTCCTTGAACTTATTCCTCCTAACTAAGATTTTGTGTTATTTGACCAACATCTCCCCAATCTCTCTAGGCTCTGGTAACCACCAATTTACTATGAGATTGACTTTTTTACAGTCCACATATAAGTGAGATCACATGGTATTTGTCTTTTTGTGCCTGGCTGATTTCACTTAAAATAACATCCTCCATGGAAGTTGCAGTCAGCCGAGATCGCACCATTGCACTCCAGCCTGGGCGACAGAGCAAGACTCTGTCTCTAAAAAGAAAAACAACAACACCCCATAATATGCTCCAGGTTCATCCGTGTTGTTGAAAAATAACAGGTTGTCCTTTGTCAAGAATGAATAACATTCCATTTTGTATATATGCTACATATACCCCATTTTCTCTTTCCATTCCTTTCCCTTTTCTTCCCTTCCTTTCCCTTCCCTTCCCTTCCCTCCCCCTTCCCTCCCCCTTCCTCCCCCCTCCCCTCCCTCTCCTCCTTCCCTTCCCTTCCTTTTTTCTTTTCTCTCTCTTTCTCTTGTTCTTTCTCTCTCTCTTTCTTCTTTCTTTTGCTCTCTCTTTCCTTCTTCTTTCTTTCTTTTCTTCCTTCCTTCCTTCTCTTTCTTCTTCCTCCCTCCCTCTCCCTCTCTTTCTATCTCTTTCTTTCTTTCTTTCTTTCTTTCTTTCTTTCTTTCTTTCTTTCTTTCTTTCTTTCTGTCTTTCTCTCTTTCTTTTTCTTTCTTTCTCTCTCTCTCTCTTTCTTTCTTTCTCTCTTTGATACAGGGTCTTGGGCTGCTGGCTCACTACAACCTTGACTTCCTGGGCCCCAGTCATCCTCCCACCTCAGCCTCCGGAGCAGCTGTGACCACAGGCATGTGCAACCATGCCCAACTAATTTTTTAATTTTTTTGTAGGGACAGGGTCTCCCTATGTTGGCCAGGTTGGTCTTGAACTCCTGAGCTCAAGTGAACTCCTGAACTCCTGCCTTGACCTCCCAAAGTGCTAGGATTACAGGTATGAACCACTGTGCCCAGCCACCACATATTTTTTATCCATTCATCCATTGATGGACACTTTGGTTGAGTCCATATCTTGGCTATTGCAAATCAGTGCTGTAATGAATGGGAGTACAGATAACTCTTTGACACACTGATTTCATTTTTTTGGTATATACCCAGTAGTGGGATATCTGTATCACATGGTGTTCTATTTTTAATTTTTTGAAGACTCTCTATACTGTTGGCCATAATGACTGTACTAATTTACATTTCTACCAACTGTATGCAAGTTTTTTTTTCTTCCACATCCTAACACTTATGTTTTGTCTTTTTGATAATAGCCATTCTAACAGGTGTGTATGTCTTCTATTAATAAATATCTTTAGATCCTTTGCCCATTTTAAAATCAGGTTATTTGGGCCAGACATGGTGGCTCATGCTGTCATCCCAGCACTTTGGGAGGCTGAGTGGGCAGGTCGCCTGAGCCCAGGAGTTCAAGACCAGCCTGGGCAACATGGCGAAACCCCATCTCTACAAAAAATACAAATGCACAAAATTGCCCAGGCATGTTGGCAAGCACTTATAGTCCTAGTTACTAAAGAGTCCCTCACCTGAGCCCAGGGAGGTCGACACTACAGTGAAACCATGATCACACCACTGCACTCCAACGTGAGCAAGAGAGTGAGACTCTGTCTCAAAAAACTAAATAATAGGCCGGGCGCGGTGGCTCACGCCTGTAATCCCAGCACTTTGGGAGGCCGAGGCGGGCGGATCACGAGGTCAAGAGATCGAGACCATCCCGGCTAAAACGGTGAAACCCCGTCTCTACTAAAAATACAAAAAAATTAGCCGGGCGTAGTGGCGGGCGCCTGTAGTCCCAGCTACTTGGGAGGCTGAGGCAGGAGAATGGCGTGAACCCGGGAGGCGGAGCTTGCAGTGAGCCGAGATCCCGCCACTGCACTCCAGCCTGGGCGACAGAGCGAGACTCCGTCTCAAAAAAAAAAAAAAAAAAAAACTAAATAATAAATAAATAGGCCAAGCTCAGTGGCTCATGCCTGTAATCCCAACACTTTGGGAGGCTGAGCTGGGCATATTACTTGAGGTCGGGAATTCAAGACCAGCCTCGCCAATGTAGTGAAACTCTGTCTCTACTAAAAATACAAAAATTAGCTGGGCATGGTTGTGTGTGCCTGTGGTCCCAGCTACTTGGAAGACTGAGGCAGGAGAATTGCTTGAACCCGGGAGGCAGAGGTTGCAGTGAGCTGAGACTGTACCACTGCACTCTAGCCTGGGTGACAGAGCTAGACTCTGTCTCGAAAAAAACAATAAATAAAAATTAAATTATTTGTTTTCTTGCTGTTGAGTTGTTTGAGTTTCTTGAGTATTTTGGACATTAATCATTTATCAAATGTAAGGTCTGCAAATATTTTCTTTCAGTCTAGGTTGCTTGTTACTTTGCGGATGGTTTCCTCGACTGTTCAGAAGCTTTTTCATTTGATATAATCTCACTTGTCTATTTTTGCTTTTGTTGCCTGTGCTTTTGTGTTCATATGCAAAAAAGCATAGCCCAGATCAATGTCCTGGAGTTTTCCATTATGAGTTCTAGTAGTTTTATGGCTTAAGGTCTTATATTCAAGCCTTTAGTCCATTTTGAGTTGATTTTTGTATTAGTGTGAGATAAAGGTCTAATTTCATTCTTCTGCATGTGGATATCCAGTTGTGCAAGCACCATTTATTGAAGAGACTATCCTTTCCCCATTGTGTGTTCTTAACATTTTTGTTGAAAATTATTGACCATAAATTCATGGATTTATTTCTAGGCTATCTGTTCTCTTTCATTGATCTATGTGTTTGTTTTTGTGCCAGTATCATGCTGTTTTGATTACCATAGCTTTGTAGTAGATTTTGAAGTCAGGTAGTGTGATGCCTCCAGCATCTTTCTGCTTTGGCTATTTGGCATCTTTTGTGGCTCCATGCAAATTTTAGGAGTCTTTTTCCTTTTCTGTGGAAAATGTAATTGGAATTTTGATAGGGATTGCATTGAATCTATAGATCACTTTCAGTAGTATGGACATTTTATCAATACTAATTCTTCCAATCCATGAATGTGGGATAATTTTTCATTTTATTGTGTTTTTGATTTCTTTCATTAATGTTTTATAGTTTTCAGTGTACAGGTCTTTCACCTCCTTAGTTAAGTTTATTTCTAAGTTATTTTATTTTATAGCTATTGTAAATGAGATTGTTTCCTTAATTTCTTTTTTGGATAGTTTGTTGTTAGTTTATAGAAAGGATGCTGATTTTGGTATGTTCACTTTATATCCTACAGCTTTACTAAATTTATTTATTCTAGCAGTTTTTTGGTGGCATCTTTAGTGATATATATATGATTATGAATATATACTTATAATCATGTCATCTGCAAACAGGGATAATTTAATTTCTTCCTTTCCAGTTTGAATGCCTTTTATTTTTTCTTTTGCCTATTTGCTCTGGTTAGGACTTCCAGTACCATGCTGAATAGAAGTGGTGAGAGTGGGCATCCTTATCTTGTTCCTGATCATAGAAGAAAAGCTTTCAAGTTTTCATTGAGTATGTTAGCTATGGGCTTGTATATGGCCTTTGTTTTGTTCAGTTACATTATTTCTATACCTAATTTGTTAAGAGTTTTTTTAATCATGAAAATATGTTGAATTTTGTCAAATGTCTTTTTTGCATTTATTGAGATAATTATGTTTTTTGTCCTTCGTTCTGTTAACGTGACAAAAGCACATTTATTGATTTGTGTATGTCAAATCATCCTTACAACCCAGGGATAAATCCCACTTATTCATGGTGAATGATCCTTTCAATGTGTTGTTGAATTTGGTTTGCTAGTATTTTGTTGAGGATCTATTTATTTATTTATTTATTTATTAGACAGAGTCTCACTTTGTCACTTGGGCTGGAGTGTAGTGGCATGATCTCAGCTCACTGCAAGCTCTACCTCCCAGGTTCAAGCGAGTCTTATGCCTCAGCCTCCCGAGGAGCTGGGATAATAGGGGTGGATCACCACACCCGGCTAATTTTTTTTTTTTTTTTTTTTTTTTTTTTTTGAGACAGAGTCTTGCTCCATGGCCCAGGTTGGAGTGCAATGGCGTGATCTTGGCTCACTGCAACCGCTGCTTTCCGGGTTCAAGCAATTCTCCTGTCTCAGCCTCCTAAGTAGCTGGGATTACAGGCGCCTGCCACCACACCCAGATAATTTTTTTTTTTTTGTATTTTTAGTAGAGATGGGGTTTCGCCATGTTGGCCAGCCTGGTCTCAAACTCCTGACCTCAGGTGACCCACCTGCCTCAGCCTCCCAAAGTGCTGGGATTACAGACGTGAGCCACCGTGCCCGGCTAATTTTAGTATTTTTAGTAGAGATAGGGTTTCACCATGTTGGCCAGGCTGGTCTCGAACTCCTGGCCTCAAGTGATCTGCCCACCTTGGCATTCCAAAGTGCTGGGATTACAGGCATGAGTCACTGCACCCAGCCTTGTTGAGGATTTTTACATCAATGTTCATTAGAGATATTGGCCTGTGATTTTCTTTTCTTGTAGTGTCCTCTGCTTTTGGTATCAGGGTAATGAGGGTAATACTGGTCTCATACAATGAGTGTGGAAGTTTTCCTTCTTTAATTTTTTTTTTTGGAAGAGTTTGAGAAGAACTGATATTAGTTCTCTCTCTCTCCCTTTTTTTTTTTTTTTGAGACAGAGTTTTACTCTGTTGCCCAGGCTAGAGTGCAGTGGCATGATCTCGGCTCACTGCAAGCTCCACCTCCTGGGTTCAAGCAATTCTCCTGCCTCAGCCTCCCAAGTAGCTGGAATTACAAGCACCTGCCACCATACTGGCTAATTTTTGTATTTTTAGTAGAGATGGGGTTTCACCACGCTGGCCAGGCTGGTCTTGAACTCCTGACCTCAGGTGATCCCCCCACCTCGGCCTCCCAAAGTGTTGGGATTACAGGCATGAGCCACCCCGCCCGGCCTTATTAGTTCTTTATTTTTTATTTTTTGAGACAGGGTTTTTCTCTGTTGCCCAGGCTGGTGTATAATGGCACAATCATGGCTCATTGTAACCTCAAACTCCTGGGCTCAAGCAGTTCTCCCACTTCAGCCTCCTGAGTAGCTGGGACCACAGAAATGTGCCATCACAACTGTCTAATTTTTAAAATTTTTCTTGTAGAGACAAAGTCTTGCTATGTTTCCCTGGCTTGTCTCAAACTCCTGGCCTCAAGGAATCCTCCCATCTCAGCCTCCCAAAGTGCTGGAATTTCAAACATGAGCCACCATGCCTGACCTGTATTAGTTTTTTTAATATTGGGAAGAATTCAGCAGTGAAGCCATCAGGTCCTGGGCTTTTCTTTGGTGGGAGACTTTTTGTTTGTTTGTTTTTTAAAAGATTCAGTCTCTACTTGTTATTGGTATGTCAAATTTTCTTGCTTATTTCATCTTGGTAGGTTGCAGGTGTCTAGGAATTTATCCATTTCCTCTAGGTTATACAATTTGTTGGGTACTACTTAACTACTCAATACTTGCTCATAGTAGTCTTATATCATCCTTTGCGTTTATGTTATATCAATGGTAATATCTCTTTATTTTATTTCAGCTTTCTCTCTTTTCTTCATCTAAGGTTTTGTCAATTTTATCTTTTTAAAAAAAGAACTCTGAGTTTCACAGATATTTTGCATTGTTTTTCTAGTCTCTATTTCATTTATTTCTGGTCTTATCTTTATTATTTCCCTTCTTCTACTGACTTTGGACTTAGTTTTTTCTTTTTCTAGTTCCCTAAGGTGTAACATTAGGTTGATTTTTGGGGAATCTTTCCTTTTAATGTAGTAGTTTATTGCTATATACTTCCATTTCAGGACAGCTTTTGCTGTATTCCGTAAGTCTTGGTATATTTTATTTCCGTTTTCATTTGTCTCAAGATTTTTTAAAATTTTCCTTTTAATTTCTTCTTTGACCCATCAGTTGTTCAGGAGCATGTTGTTTAATTTCCACATATTCGAGAATTTTCCAAAATTCCTCCTATTATTTATTTCTAGTTCCATACCATTGTGGTCAGAAAAGATAGTTAATTTTTTTTTTTTTTTTGAGATGGAATCTTGCTCTGTTGCCTAGGCTGGAGTGCAGTGGTGCCATCTCGGCTCAGTACAACCTCCGCCTCCCAGGTTCAAGCAATTTTCCTGCCTCAGCCTCCTGAGTAGCTGGGACTACAGGTGTGTGCCACCACACCTGGCTAATTTTTGCATTTTTAGCAGGGGTGGGGTTTCACCATGTTGGCTAGGCTGGTCTAGAACTCTGACCTCAAATCATCGGCCTGCCTTGGCCTCCCAAAGTGCTGGGATTACAGGCATGAGCCACTGTGCCTAGCATGTATTTTTAGTAAAAATTGGGTTTCACCATGTTGGCTAGGCTGGTCTTGAACTCCTGAACTCAAGCAATCCACCTGCCTCTGCCTTCCAAAGTGCTGGGATTACAGACATGAGCCACCACACCTAGCCCACCTTACTACCCTAGGCCTTTTGATTGAGGAATTTAAATCCTTTACATTCAAGGTAATTATTGACAGGTAAAGACTTACTACTGCCATTTTGCACAAAAATTAGCCGGGTATGGTGGCGCGTGCCTGTAAACCCAGCTACTTAGGAGGCTGAGGCAGGAGAATCATTTGAACCTGGGAGGTGGAGGTTGCAGTGAGCTGAGATTGCGTCATTGCACTCCAGCCTGGGTGACAGAGTGAGACTCCATCTCAAAAAATAAAAAAATTAAAAAAAATAAATAATAAAATATATAACTCTCTTATTTTAAATAAAAACTTAAAAATGGTTAAGCTTAGTGAGGAAGGAATGTTGCAACATGGCATGATACGCTGAAAGCTGGGCCTCTTGTGCCAAACAGTTAGCCAAGCTGTGAATGCAAACGAAAAGTTTTTGAAGGAAATTAAAAGTACAACTCTAGTGAACACACAAAGGTTTAAGGAAAGAATCCATCTCCATAATATAAAAGTGCAAGGTGAAACAGTAAGTACCTATGCAGAAACTGCAGCAAGTTATCCAGAAGATCCAGCTATGATCATTGATAAAGTTGACTATACCAAACAACCGATTTTCAATATAGATGAAACAACCTTATCTTATCTGAAGAAGAAGATGCCATCTAGGACTTTTATTGCTAGAGAGAAGTCAATGCCTGGTTTCAAAGCTTCAAAAGAGAGCCTGACTCCCTTTAGGGGCGAATGCAGCTGCTGACTTTATGTTGAAGTCAATGCTTATTTACCATTCTGAAAATCCCGGGATCCTTGAGAACTATGCTAAATCTACTGTGCCTGTGCTCTATAATGCTACAACAAAGCCTGGATGACAGCACATCTGTTTACAGCATGATTTACAAAATATTTTAGGCCCAGTGTTGAGACTTACTGCTCAGAAAACAATGTTTCTTTCAAAATATCACTACTCATTGACAATGTATCTGGTCACCCAAGAGCTCTGATGGAGATGTACAAGGAGATTAATGTTGTTTTCATGCCTGCTTACACAACATACATTCTGAAGTCCATGAATCAAGGAGTCATTCTGATTTTCAAGTTTTATTATTATTATTTTTTGAGGTGGCATCTCGCTCTGTCACCCAGGCTGGAGTGCAGTGGCGTGATCTCGGCTCACTGCAACCTATGCCTCCCAGATTCAAGCAATTATTCTGCTTCAGTCTCCTGAGTATCTGGGATTATAGGCATGTACCACCACGCCCAGCTAATTTTTGTATTTTTAGTGGAGACAGGGTTTCACCATATTGGTCAGGCTGGTCTTGAACACCTGACCTCGTGATCCACCTGCCTTGGCCTCCCAAAGTGCTGGGATTACAGGCATGAGCCACCGCGCCTGGCCTCAAGTTTTATTATTTAAGAAAAAGATTTCGTAAGGTTATAGCTGCTATAGATAGTGATTCCTCTGTTGGATCTGGGCAAAATAAACACAAAACCTCTGGAAAGGATTCATCATTTTAGATGACGTTAAGAACACCCATGATTCATGGGAGGAGGTCAAAATATCAACACTTACAAGTTAAGAAGTAGAGTCCAACCCTCCTGCATGACTTTGAGGGATTCAAAACCTTAGTGGAGGTAGTCACCACAGATGTGGTGAAAATAGTAAAAGAACTAGAATTAGATGTGACTGAATTGCTGCAATCACAGGATAAAATTTGGACAGATGCAGAGTTGCTTCTTATGGATGAACAAAGAAAGTGGTTTCTTGAGATGGAATATACTCCTGGTGAAGATGCTGGGAATATCATTGAAAGAAGTTTTACTGTAGGTAAAATGCTATCAAATAGCACCGCATGCTACAGAGAAATTTTTTTTTTTTTTTGAGATAGAGTCTCACTTTGTCATCCAGGTTGGAGTGCAGTGGTACAATCTTGGCTTACTGCAACCTCCACCTCCCAGGCTTAAGTGATTCCCCTCTTGCCTCAGCCTCTCGAGTAGCTGGGATTACAGGCACCCACCACCACGCTGGCTAATTCTTGTATTTTTAGTAGAGACAGGGTTTTGCCATGTTGGCCAGGCTAGTCTCGAACTCCCAACCTCAGGTGATCAGCCTGCCTTGGCCTCCTAAAGTGCTGGGATTACAGGCATTGTTTTCTTATTTTAAGAAATTGCCGGCTGGTTGCAGTGGCTCACGCCCGTAATCCCAACACTTTGGGAGGCCAAGGCAGGCAAATCACCTGAGGTCGGGAGTTTGAGACCAGCCTGACCAACATGGAGAAACCCCGTCTCCTCTAAAAATACAAAATTAGCCATGCGTGGTGGTGCATGCCTGTAATCCCAGCTACTTGGGAGGCTGAGGCAGGAGAATTGCTTGAACCCAGGAGGCGGAGGTTGTGGTGAGCCAAGATGGCACCACTGCACTCCAGCCTGGGCAACAAGAGTGTAACTCCGTCTCAAAAAAAAAAAAAAAAAGAAAGAAAAAAAGAAATTGCCACAGCCACCTCAACCTTCAGCAACCACCACCCTTATCAGTCAGCAGACATCAACATAGAGGCAAGACCCTGCACCACCAAAAAGATTCTGACTTGCTGAAGGTTCATATCATTATTAGCATTTTTTTAAGCAATAAAGTATTTTAAAATTAAGGAATATACATTTTTCTTCCTCTTTCTTTTCTTTTCTTTTTTTTTGAGATGGAGTCTCGCTCTGTCACTCAGGCTGGAGTGCAGTGTCACGATCTCTGCTCACTGCAAGCTCCACCTCCCGGGTTCAAGCAATTCTCCTGCCTCAGCCTCCTAAGCAGCTGGGACTACAGGCGTGTGCCACCACGCCCAGCTAATTTTCATATTTTTAGCAGAGACAGAGTTTCACCATATTGGCCAGGCTGGTCTTGAACTCCTGACATTGTGATAGGCCTGCCTCGGCCTCCCAAAGTGCTGGGATTACAGGCATGAGCCACCGTGCCTGGCTGGTATGTACATTTTTAAAAGTCTTACTGCTATTCTACACTTAATAGATTACAGTATAGCGTAAACATAACTTTTGCATGTACTGGGAAGCCAAATAATTTGCATGACTTGCCTTGCTGTGATATTTGCTTTATTGTGGTGATCTGGAACTGAACCCACATTATCTCTGAGGTATGCCTGTACTCTTTATAGATCCTTATATAATACTGAATATTTAAAAATACTTAAAATATTTTAAATTTTAAAATTTAAAACTTTTTTTTACTCATGATCAAAAGAATTCACGTTCATTATGGAGAACTGGAAAATGCCTAAAGAACAAAAGAGAGGAAGAACTCTCAATCTCACTACCCAAAAAAGTTGTTAACATTTCGGTGTATATTTTTCAAATATATTTATATATATTTTAAAAACCAATCTCCAACTGTACAGATATTTTGGAAGTACATTTAGCAATTTGTATTTTCAAATTCATGTTTTATTTTATTTATTTTTTTTGAGACATGATCTTGCTCTCTTGCCCAGGCTGGAGTGCAGTGGTGCGATCTCTGCTCACTGCAACCTCCGCCTCCTGGGTTCAAGCGATTCTCTGCCTCAGTCTCTGGACTATCTGGGGCTACAGGCCCACGCTACCACACCCAGCTAATTTTTGTATTTTTAGTAGACACGGTTTCTCTACGTTGCCTAGGCTGGTCTTGAACTCCTGGCCTCAAGTGATCTGCCTGCCTCGGCCTCCCAAAGTACTGGAATTACAGGTATGAGCCACAGTGCATGGCCAAGATTCATATTTTATAACATATAATTTACTTCTAAATTGAACAGTTAATTGAAATGTAAATAAAAACAATTGAATACTTTATAATTAGTTTATTAGATACATTTTTAGAAGCTGGATCAAAGAATGTACATATTTTAAATCCTTTTGCTATATATTGCAAATTGTTTTTGAAATGGGGCATGTCAGCCGTGCTATTGGTATTTTGTAAACTTCATCCTTTGTCTGTCAGTAAAGTTAATTTTTATCAAATCATTTATCTAGAACTAATGAGAGACTGCAAGAGCCCTCCAGTGGCCAAGCTAATTTCTGCAAAAATACCATCATCAGAATGAAAAAGGAATTGTATGCAGTTGTTAAATCTTGACAGCGAAGAGAAGGGATGGCTAGAATTATTTTAGCTGTTTAAAGGGCCATATGCTGTACTTGTAGGTGAGATCACATTTTCTTTCCTTTCAAATTCTTATTCATATGTTACCAGATTTTGAAACATTTTGAGTTTCACTGCTCTGTAATATGAAGGTTAAGATTGTGTTTACAGATCAGTTGAAGCCAGGAGTTCGAGACCACATAGTAAGACCCTGTCTCTACAAATGATAAAAAAATTAGCCGGCCATGGTTGTGGGCACATATGGCCATAGCTGCTCAAGAGGATGAGGTGGGAGGATCACTTGAGCTTGGTGGGCAGGGAGTGTCAAGGCTGCAGTGAGCTGTGATAGCCCGCCACTGCACTCCAGCCTGGGCTACAGAAGGAGACCCTGTCACAAAACAAACAAACAGGTTTACAACCAACTGATTATTTTTTGGTATAGAAGCCAATAGTTATTGAGTACTTACTATGTATTAGACACTACTCCAATAATTGTACATTTAGGAACACATTTAATTCTAACATTCGAACAGCTATTATGAAATAGTTACTGTTGTTTTTTGTTTTGAGACAGAGTCTCCATCTGTTGTCCAGCATGGGGCGCAGTGATGCGATCACAGCACGTTGTAACCTCCAACTTGTGGGCTCAAGTGATCCTTCTGCCTTAGCCTCCTCAGTAGCAAGGACTATTAGTAGCTATTTTTATTTTTGTAGAGACAGATTGCTGAGGCTGGTCTGAAACTCCTGGCATCAAGCAATCTTCCTGTCTCAGCCTCCCAAAGCGCTGGGATTACAGACATGAGCTACTGTGCCCAGCCAGTTACCGTTGTTAACACAATTTTTCTGGTGAGGAAATAGAATATTAGTTATTAAATGCAGTTACTAAACAAAAAAGTTAAACAGCCTGCTCGAGATCACACAACTAGTTAGTGATGGAGCCAGGATTCCACCCTATTCCCCTTACTACTCTACTCTGTTGTCTGCTTTGGATCTTGGTGCCCAACAATGTCCTCATTCAGGATAATTTAATAAAATAGAATCTTTATTTACATAAGAAACAAAAAGAAAACAATTGGTGTCATTGAGACACAGGCTTCTCTTGTAGACAGTTTTTTATGGAACAGTGTAGCATTGATAACATGATTGGTGATTTTTTATTATATATTGAATGAATAATAAGAGGACACATGATTGTTTTGATCATTTTATTATTCATGTTTTCAGTAAAAGACTTAAAAGTCAACAAATTGCTCTGTGTTTCCATGTCCTAGGTAGCTAAATGCAAACACCTGTTCTTTTTTTTTTTTTTTTTTTTTTTTTTTGAGACAGAGTTTTACTCTGTCACCTGGGCCGGAATGCAGTGGCGCGATCTCAGCTCACTGCAACCTCCGCCTCCCGGATTCAAGTGATTCTCCTGCCTCAGCTTCCTGAGTAGCTGGGTTTACAGGCGCTCCCCACTACGCCCAGCTATTTTTTTGTATTTTTAGTAGAGACAGGGTTTCACCATGTTGGCCAGGCTGGTCTTGAACTCCTGACCTCATGATTCGCCCGCCTCAGCCTCCCAAAGTGCTAGGATTACAGGTGTGAACCACTGCGCCTGGCCGACAAACACCTGTTCTTTATTATTATTATTATTATTGGGAGCCAGAGTCTCACTCTGTTGCCCAGGGTGGAGTGCAGTGGCGTGATCTTAGCTCACTGCAACCTCTGCCTCCTGGATTCAAATGATTCTGGTGCCTCAGCCTCCCAAGTAGCTGGGATTACAGGCACCCACCATCACACTGAGCTATTTTTTGTATTTTTAGTAGAGACAGGGTTTCACCATGTTGGCCAGGCTGGTCTCGAACTCCTGACCTCAGGTGACCTGCCTGCCTTGGCCTCCCAAAGTGCTAGGATTACAGGCGTGAGCCACCGTGCCCTGCCCCTTAATTATTAAGATAGAGAATTTAAAGATGTGGCTTTTTAGTTAGATTATTTCCTTATTTTTCACTTCAGCACTTATATACTCTATTACTACTATGTTTTCTGAAAATGTAATCGCTAGTTGAATTTGGGCTAAAAATAAGGACTTTTGCTCTTCTTCAGGAACTATGATCTCATAGGTTGAATTAGACAGGATATCATTTAATGCAGTCTGAGACTCTTGGCAGAGAAGTGGATGAATAGAATTGCTACTTGAAGAGAGAAAACACTCTGAGAGGATTCAAGCCTAAAACTCCAGGTACAAGTTTTTCATTATTTTACTCTATCTACAAGCTGAAGGAAGGGAAATTTGGGATGAAATGGCTTCTGAAGGAATGATATTCTAGTTGCACTGTGAAGAAAGGGCAAGATATGGGGGAGCACCTGGAGCCCTGTTGTCTGTTCTAGAGAACCTGGTGTGTTTTCCACAGTGATTGTTGGAGAAATTTCCTGAAAAGGAATTTTTTCCCCTCTCGTAGCTGAATTTGAATCTCCAGGTGGAAGTGAATTGTGAAGGTGCCACTCTTCTCTGCTGGAAGTATATGCATTGAGGCCAGCGTGTCTAGGTAATTAGAGACTTTTCTGTTTGAGACCTGAGCAGTACACATCCCTTCTACTGCTGAAGGCTTCACTTTCCTGTGGGCGGCAGGTGGGTACCCGAGACCACAAAGAGCTGTACTCTGCCTCTTGCCCACTCCCTAGACCAGCTCCAATCACCACCTCCTGATTTCTTCTGCATGGTGTCTTCAGGTTCTCATCCTAGTGGAACTTGTAGGCTTGCAAATTCAATCTCTCCCTTTCAACCCTTCAGTCAGCTCCATTCAACAGGTATGTATTGAGTGCCTTTGTGTATGCCACGTACTGTGCCACATTCAACAGTTTCGGTGATGAACAAAATAGACAAAATCCTGAAACTTACAGGTCATTTCATTTTTAAAGCCTATGTTTGATATTCTTTTTATGCTATGAATTTGTTCTACAGTATTTCTAAAAATGTGTGTATGTGTGTATCATCAAATATTTAAAATCCACCAGAGGAATTTATCCCTTAAAAAGAGGTCCCCAGGCCGGATGTGATGGGGAGCTGAGATGGGGGTATCTTTTGAGGCCAAGAGTTTGAGACCAGCCTGGGCAATACAGAGACCCCTCCCCCATCTCTATAAAAAATACAACAATAAAAAAATTAGCCAGGTGTGGTGGTGTGCACCTATAGTCCTAGCTATTCAGGAGGCTGAGGTGGGAGAATCACTTGGGCCCAGAGTTCGAGGTTACAGTGAGCTATGTTTGTGCCGCCACACTTCAGCCTCCAGGGGGACAGCAAGACTCTGTCTCTAACAAAATAAATAAATAAGTAAATAAGGGCCTAGTAGAAGTACTTGATTTTTTAATTGAGTAATCTTGCTTAAGTAATTTCATATATGTCCTGTGTTTTCATGTTTGGTTTTCTAAAGAGGTGAATCATCTTTTTAAAATATATGAAGAAAACTTCCACAGAGAAATGCACATTCCAGTTGGGTTTAATTATCCCTCATTTGGAATGTGCAAAGCTGAGGTTAATCATGTTTCTCTACAAGTTACAGCTCCCTTCAGTTTTTTACCAGCCATGCAATGATAAAAGATAACCACTAGCAGGCGCTAAGAGCCTACTCGTTGGCCCAAACTTTGCTCTCAATGTGGGGTTTTGATGCTTGCCAGCAGTCACATCTGCTTTGTGGTATGCATTCGTGCTGTATCTGAATAGCATTTTAGTTTGATTGACTATTTTTGGGTGTAAATGGTAGAAGAACAGTTAACCAGGCCTTTTCCTTTGTTTAGTTCACATCTGGGTTTTAGGGCCTTACTGGCCCTAATCCCCTAATCCTCCCCTTCAAATACCTTTGAATAAGAGTAAGATGAAGGAACGAACTTACGCTCAAGCCACAGAGCATATGACTCATCTTATATTTTTTTTTATAATGGAAAAAAACATTGGACTTAGGGTTAGAAGACCTGAAATCAGGTCTCAGCTCTACCTTCCTAGTTCTGATATGTACTGTGGAAATGTGAAAAGATGGCATGGCAGAGTTTGCTGAGAAAAAATTAACTGAGAAGACCTTTGTCTGGATGGTCTGGGGACCAACGATTGACGTTTATCTGAGGGTGATTAGACCTTGAGAGACTGACTCTTACAACTAAAGGGTACCTGAGACTGTGACAGACCCAGAATATCAGTTTAGTAAGTTGTGCTGCATGGGAAGTCAGGTCTTAATCACAAAGAGGGTTTGGGAGGAGAGCCACAGCCAAGCAATGTGGATGATATTTTTTTTTTTTTTGAGACAGAGTTTGCTCTTGTTGCCCAGGCTGGAGTGCAATGGCATGATCTCGGCTCACTGCAACCTCCGCCTCCCGGGTTCAAGCGATTCTCCTGCCTCAGCCTCCTGAGTAGCTGGGATTACAGGCATGTGCCACCATGCCTGGCTAATTTTGTATATATATATATATATATATATTTGATATGGAGTCTTGCTCTTGTCACCCAGGCTGGAGTGCAATGGCACGATCTCGGCTCACTGCAACCTCCGCCTCCCAGGTTCAAGAGATTCTCCTGCCTCAGCCTCTTGAGTAGCTGGGATTACAGGCACCTGCCACCACGCCCAGCTAATTTTTGTATAATTTTGAAACCCCGAGACGGGGTTTCACCATGTTGGCCAGACTGGTCTCGAACTCCTGACCTCGTTATCCACCCGCCTTGGTCTCCCAAAGTGATGGGATTACAGGGGTGAGCCACTGTGCCTGGCCGCAATGTGGATGATTTTAGCAAAAGTCTCAGCTAAGATAGCTTGAGGGACTTCCCCACCCTACAGAGCCTTGCTAATGGCACCGCATCCTCAGAGTCTGTGAGCCACAGACTCTGAAAATAGTCAAGGATTCCCATTGCGTCTCTCTGCCTCTTGGCCCCCAGTTCTCTTTGCTTCCATGGCTTCCTGCCTTCCTTTTGAAGGGACAAGCCCTCTCTTTACCTTGGGCTAATGAATTCAAACAGGTTACATCTTGTGGCCTCCTCAAGTGGCCTTTTGTACATCTATGCTGGAATGGATTAGACACTGGCTTTACAATTGCTTTCATTGGATAATAATAATACCCTAATTATTTAGCTTGTATCTCTACCAAAGGGAACTCCCACTTCCAATTAATCTACGCTTCCTATAAATCATTCTAACAGTGTCTAATGTGAATGAGTGTCCAGCAGTGCTGGGCACTATGCTGAGTACTTCATATAAATTATCTCACTTGATCCTCACCATGCCCTAAGGGGGCATTTACTATCTCACTTTGTACATGAAGAACCTGAGAGTCACGTAGGTGAAGGGCCAGCTCAAGTGGTGAAGACAGAATGTGAACCTAGGAGGTCCCAGTCCAAGACAGCAATCTTAACAACTTGGCAATTTTTTTTTTTTTTTTTTTTTTTTTTTACCATTTAGTGCCTGAGTTCTGAAATCTGGCTTTACAAACACTATGTGTGTGTGACCTGTGGATGATCTGGGCATTATTATATTCTGATTGGTTGAAGTTTCATGGTTCGAATGTCAAATTCTAATGGAGGCATAAGAGTGCAGATTCCATGAGTGCTTTTACAAGAAGTTGATGTTGCTTGGGTTTTATGTTTTATGTTGTATTTAGCACAAAAGCCATTTTAAAAAAGTGTTATAAGGAAATATCTGAAAACATTCAGTCCATAGACCCTGGTGATGAAACGTCCCCCAAACACAATGGCTCACTCAGAACATACTCCTATGGAATAGTTTCCACAAATCAAACTCATACGAATATAGGGAGGATACATAAGAATGCAAAATCAGGCCAAGCCTGCTGGCTCATGCCTATTATAATCCCAGCACTTTGGGAGGCCAAGGCAGGTGAATTGCTTGAGCGCAGGAGTTCAAGACCAGCTTGGGCAACATAGTGAGACCTTCTCTCTACTAATAATAAGAAAGATTAGCTGGGCATAGTGACTCATGCCTGTAGTCCTAGCTACTCAGGAGGCTGAGGTGGGAGGATCACTTGAGTCCCGGGGTTCAAGGCTACAATGAGCTGTGATCACGCCACTGAACTGTAGACAGGGTGACACAGATCTTGTCTCAAAACAACAACAACGGCAACAACAACAACAACGTTCTGAAGCATCACATTAGCCAGGGGTTTCTGAATACTTACTTTGTACCAATGTTACTTTAAGTTCTGCATATATATTACTAGGTTGGTATAAAAGTAATCGTGGTTTTTGCCGTTATGTTTAATACTTTGCACCAACCTAATAGCTCACAGAATAAAAAAAAAAGTCTATGAGGTAGGTACAGTTTTCATCCTTATTTTACAAATGAGAAAAGGAGGCCAAGAATGATAAAGTAACTTGGTCTCACAGCCAGAAAGTGATGGAGCCAAGATTTGAACTTGGGCAGTTGGACTGTGTTCTTAGTCACTGTGCTTCCTGGGTGATTACTGTGACCCTTGTACTTGACACTCTGCTATCAATTACAAGAGCCATTTCTGTGTGTGCACTTGATTTCCTTGGGGTCTCCAGGGAAATGTAATTGTCTCCTCAAGTCCAGGCTTTCCTAGAAGACATGGTGATTGCACTGATAACCAGCATTAGGGCTGGCTTTGGGAAAGCTCAGTACCTATGATTTATGGTTAGTATCTTAGATTTTAGAACGCTGAGCAGGAAGTTTTTGTGCTTTCTGAAATCCTCACACCTTTAAGTCTCATGATTGGTGAGGAGGCAGTGGTCCAAGGGAATGGATAGAAGGAGATAATAAGATAAGCCAAATGTTTCAAAGGGAGTGAAAACTGTTGAATGTAAATGCAGCTCAAGGAAGACTTCCCTATCTGAATAAAAAGGTGCAAATAATGCGGCCTATTTGTATGCATGGTGGCTTAATGATGTTGATGGTGATGATGATAGCTTTACACTATCAGAGCGCTCATTCTGGGCTAGGCAGTTTTCTCAGTGGGGTACAGATATTAATTTATTTACAGTGAGCCAGAGAAGTCTGCTGTAGCTTTTAATGCGTCTAAAATGGGACACATGAACCCCTTAGGAATTTTCAGACTGATCAGGACAGTTTCCTAGAAACAGTTCGTGAAAGGGATGAGATGGGCCCATGGTATCTACCCCTTCCTAGCTGCGTGAACTTGGGCAACTCAACCTTCTTGTGCTGTTTCTCTATGGCTAGTGCGTGTAATTTGTTGTTGTTGTTGTTGTTTGCTTTTGAGACGTTGTCTCACTCAGTTGCCCAGGCTGGAGTGCAGTGGCACGATCTTGGCGCACTGCAACCTCCTTCAAGTTATTCTCCTGCCTCAGCCTCCCAAGCAGCTGGGGTTACAGGCATGCGCCACCATGCCCGGCTCATTTTTGTATTTTCTGTAGAGATGGAGTTTCACCATGTTGGTCAGGCTGGTCTCGAACTCCTGACCTTAGGTGATCCGCCCACCTTGGCCTCCCAAAGTTCTGGGATTACAGGTGTGAGCCACCACTCCCGGCCTAGTATGTGTCATTGACAATTGTTCCTACCTCAAAGGCTGTTATGAGGATTAAATGAGCTAATGCATGTAAAATGCATCTGCATAATATATAACACAGCTCGATAAATGTGAGTTGCTATTGTTGATTATTATGGCCACGTTTGCCGCTGATGATGTTCAACCACTGAAAAGCATCGTTTTCTTTCTTCTAGTAACTGTGTGTACTGAATGCCTCGCGTTTGTCCCTACTGCACTTTTCAGTCTGTCACAATCCTGGGTCGTCGGGGGACTGTACCGAGCGCCCTTGGAGTGCTCGCAGCAGGGAAGAAGGAGCGAGCAGGGAGGAGCTGAGGAGGGTCGGAGCGGAATGGACACCCAGAGACTGAGATGAGAGAGGGGCTATAAGAAGAGAAACCAGTCGCAGGAAAACAGAACTCTCGACAAACGCACGCCCTCTTTGCGCTCTCCGTTTCTCTGGACCTGGATGGAATTGTTTTACTTTGCATCGCCGGACTGCGCTGCGGACGGGGTGGGGCGGCCCAATGGCCCCCCTGGGGTTACTCTGCTCCCCTTCACGCTTCCCTCCCGGCCCCGCCCCGCGATTGGCCGGCGCGCCCCGGGGCTGCCGCCGATTGGTGCTCGCCGGCCGGAGCCGCGGGGCTTAAAGAGGGGGCGGGGGCGCGCTGCCCAGCAGCGCTGCTGTCCCCGCCGTGCGCCCTTCGCCGCTGAGCTCGCAGCCTCCGGCGCCCACCTCCACCTCCAGTGTCCCGCCTCGGGCCGTCGCCCTCCAGCGGCTCGCGAGCGTGGGAGACGTACCTGGGCAGGCACTGTCCAGCCCAGGCCCAGGCACAGCCGTGAGGGGCGAGGCACGGGGACATCCTGGCGGCCACCATGGTGGCCACGTGCCTGCAGGTGGTGGGCTTCGTCACGAGCTTCGTGGGCTGGATCGGGGTCATCGTGACCACCTCCACCAATGACTGGGTGGTGACCTGCGGCTACACCATCCCCACCTGCCGCAAGCTGGATGAGCTGGGCTCCAAGGGGCTGTGGGCCGACTGCGTCATGGCCACGGGGCTGTACCACTGCAAGCCCCTGGTGGACATCCTCATCCTGCCGGGTAAGGACCCGAGCTTGGCGGCGGCTCCCAAATCCTTATCCTCTGGGTAGAGAGCGGGATATTAGACGGCGTCACAGAGACATTTTGGGGGCTTGAAGACCTTTGGGTACGTTTTTGACATCCCTAGTCCCACCTTGTTGTAAAAGAATTAGGCAGCCCCGAACTTAACTTCTCTAGGCCGCAGTATTCTTATCTGGAATTTGAGATAATAGTGGCAATGTGGCCGGTGGTAACACTGGCCGGGTCCCTTTGAGAATGAACAAACCGGAACACCTAATAGGAACTGAGTCCGTGTTAATTACTGCGGTCCCAGCCCGCATCCTTCCACCGTCCGCTTCCCGAAGTGCTTCCCGCTCCCGCCCGGCCTCCCCCGGGGCGCCGAGCCTTCGCGTTAGGTTCCGCCCGCAGAGGTGAGAAGGAGCGTGTAACACAAGCTGACAGGAGAATCGAACCGGCTCAGGCTGAGTTTCTCGGTCCTCATGGGATGGGCGAAGCGCCCCCGGCCAGGTTAGAGCCCTCCTAGCTCCGTCCGCGCAGCCGCTGAGCAATTCACGTCCAGGGCTCTCTGGGCTGCCTGGTTTGGGAAATGTCACGTTGATTCCCGCACGTGCCCAGGGCCATCTCCGCTGCCCCCGCTACCCCCGCCCCTGCTGTGGGCGCGTCAGACTGCGGGGCTGCGGTGACGCCGGCTCCCGCTCCGCGCCGCTGGGTTGGATAGGGACGAGCGGGCGCTCCTCGGAGGGCGGACTCCACTGGGGAGATACGGAGCGCGCCGCCGAGGGTCGCTCGCCGCCACCCCTCCAGCGTGTCTCAGATTGGGAAGGGGAGGTAAAAATTGACAGCCTAGCGCCGGCCAGGGGCCACATTTTCACATGTGTCCTGTGGAAACATTTTGGGCGACAGCCTCAATTCAGATTTAAACCAATGGGTTGGGCAATGGCGAGGTCGCGGGCACCCCCTTGGTTTTCTGCTGGAATCTCTGCTCTACCCCCAAGGCATGTCCCTACAAGGTGGGCTTCTGTCCCCCAGCCTTCGTGGATTGTGCTCACTTAAAGGATTTTCCCGGTTTCCTCAAGATGGGGAGAAACCTGTCCCTGAAGCCGCCAGTCAGATAAGACTGTGCTCGCCCCTTAAGCCTCCTCCAAGCACGCCCTATTTCCGGTCCTCGCAGTCGGAATCTGAATCCCTCCTTTCTCCTTGCTGCCTAGTACTTGGCTCTTATCCTCACAAAGGCACATTTTATCTTGTTTTTTGTTGATTGTTCGTGAGTGAAGTTCTCCCACTACGTTTTAAATTCCTTGAAGATAGAGATGGCGTCCTGTTATTCTCTTTGCTTCCTCTTCTGGACCTGGCATGGCCTCTGGCACACAATAGCTGCGGGCAGTGCTTGCCTGGTTTGCCTTACGCTATCCTTTCCTTCATTTTGAACTTTCAGAAGGCCAGAGGTCAACGAACGCAGATCTAGACTCAGCTTTGGCTAATGCTGGTGTTGGCAGACCCGGGCCAGCCTCCGGCATCCAGGACTCACAATCTGGGTGAGGGGGGACAAATTGCTAGCCTCAGTGAACCACGGTTGTCTTCTTTTAAAAGTTAAAATCAGATCAACCACCCATCTTTCACGATTATTTGAGGATTAAATGAGATAAGAAATGTAATCTCCTTTGAGATAGTAGATGCTTCATGAATGGTACCTATAGTATTTTATTAAAAGCTGGGCATGGTATTTGTAGGGATCTTTGAAGCATAAAATTAACTTTGTTTTCTTCTCCTGAAATTAACTTTACTGAGCATTCAGTGCCAAGTGGTTTGTTTTCAGAGAACAAAGGCTGTCCTCCAGAGGGGAGTGCATACTCTGGGGGTGGGGGGGGGGTGGGGGGCGGCGCTAGTCCTTCCTGCCTTCCCCCTCCCTCATACTTTGGGTGGAGGCAGGAACAGTCCTCTGTCCCTATCTTTTGGTGTCCGGACATGGCCTTGGCACTGTAGCATGTGGACAGCCAGTGCCATGGATTTCAGAACCTGCATTGCCAGTTGACTGCCTGCTTTGTGTGAGTACTGGCTCTCTACAAGCCGCAGAGGCGGACGGCTGGGTCAGGGGATGGGCCTCAGACTTCCTGGAGCTCCTTTCTGGAGATCTTCAAGTCAGTAGACACTTGACTGATTATCTTTAATTCTGAAGGAGCTGAGATGGGCAGTGCTGGAAGAGGGCCCTTGTGAAGTCCGAATTCTGGCAAAACGTTCCTTGCTAAGAGACAGCGTTGAAGTTAGGCCTTTTTGCACGTGAGGGTCGTGGTGTGTGAGGCAGATGTCGGCTAGATTCCTGGCTTTGCTATGAACTCTGCCTCACCCAGGCCACTAGTACTAGTTCCTTCTGAGCAAAAAAGGGAGGGTAATAAATGTGACCCCCCCCACCTTTTTTAAGAGGAGGGAGAGTTTTAATGAGAAACATTACATTTGAAAGTGAAACAAATTTGTCTGTGAAATTCTCCCAGTATCTTGTCAGATTTATTCTAAATAAATGTGACACATATTGTAATCTGTTTCTTAATACAGTTTTTACTTGGCATTTTACTTGACAGGATAAAGTTCATGTAGTTTTGCTCTACTCTTCTATTTTTCAGTTCTCTTATTCCTTGATTCGCAATTGTTTCCATGATCTGTTGTGGGCACTGTGTTAACTCCGTGAATACCAAGGCAGGTGTCTGCCCTCCAGGAACCCTGAGGGCTGGAGAGATGCCTTTTAAGCAATGATGGACAGTTGGGGAAGGATGCCCAGGGCACTGTGGGTGAGGCAGGAGATGGGGTCCAACAATTTAGGGGCAGGATCCATGAGGACAGCAGCCTCTGGGGAGACAGCAAAGAGAGGAAGCCTGAGTCTTAGTTTAGTCTGGGTTAGGGCCACAGCCAATGTGAATGAAAGCACATGGTTAGGAGAAAATCACCTAGGACACCTGAAGATGAAAGCGCTGCACTGAGACAGACAAAGAACACCAATGATAACAACTAACCTTTTTTGAGGATTTGGTATAGGCACTGTTTTAAGCACTAAATAAATTAACTAATGTAATCTTCAGTAGAATTCTATTACAGAGATGTAGGTACTATTATATTATTATCAATACTTTGTTTGTTTATTTATTTATTTATTTTGAGAAAGAGTCTCGCTCTGTCACCTGGGCTGGAGTGCAGTGGCTCGATCTCAGCTCACTGCAACCTCCCCCTCTCAGGTTCAAGCGATTCTGCTGCCTCAGCCTCCCCAAGTAGCTGGGACTACAGGCTCACACCACCACACCAGGCTAATTTTTGTATTTTTAGTAGAGATGGGGTTTCGCCCTGTTGGCCAGGCTGATCTTGAACTCCTGACCTCAGAAGATCCACCTGCCTTGGCCTCCCAAAGTGCTGGGATTAGAGGTGTGAGCCACCATGCCTGGCCTGTTGTTACTTTATAGATGTGGAAAATAAGACATCATGGTTAAGTAACTTGCCCAAGGTCACACAGGTAGAGCTATCAATAGCAGACTGGAACCAATAGAGGCCCTCACAGAATGATTCTTGGGAGATTTCAGTTTTCATCTGAACTTTCTCAGGGGGATGTAATAATGTAAATGGACTCTTGGCCCCTCCATCCTGGAAGCTTGGCCAAGTGGCCTAAACCAGGGGTCCCCATTTAGTTTCTCCAGCCCCCTTTTTTCTTGCTGAGTTGTTTTAAAAGTTAAAAAGTGCTTAGTGACCTTGGACAACATTAGCACCTTCTAAGTCCTGGAATCCACCAAGAAGGAGGAAGGGAGATGGTGCTGAATTCCCCTAAGGCAGGGCTCAGGAAGCAAGAGAACCCTGTGGTCTAACCTTTCCCATCTGCTCTCTTGTTCCCAGGCTACGTGCAGGCCTGCCGCGCCCTGATGATTGCTGCCTCGGTCCTGGGTCTGCCGGCCATTTTACTGCTGCTGACTGTTCTTCCCTGCATCCGGATGGGCCAGGAGCCCGGTGTGGCTAAGTACAGGCGGGCCCAGCTGGCTGGTGTTTTGCTCATTCTGCTGGGTAAGACAGCTTTCTCAGTGGTACCCTACCTATGAGGGAGCCTGATGAATCTCAGATCTTGTGGTTGCTGCCTTCTCAAGTTCAAGAGAAATGTGAAAGGAAGCCAAGTGAAGCCAGTGGGGGATGGACTCCCACAATCTGTATCCCTTTGTATTTTATGGGCAGTTTACACAGAGGGCTAAGTAATGTCTCTGGGAGTCACTGACCATGAAGATAAGTTTAAAAAGAGAAAGAGGATTTTGAAGGTAGGAAATACCTAAGGGAAAGACCTGAAAGATGGAAGCCTTCTCAGTCTTCACAGTGGAATCCTTTTTGAACACCTATGCCCAGGTCCCACAGCAGATCAATTGAATCAGAATTTTCTGGGCATCAGGCCAGGCAAAGATATTTTTTGAAAGCTTCCCAGGTGATGCTTATGTGCAGGCAAGACTGAGCAGCTCAGTTAATAAAGAAGGAGGCCGAGGTGGGCGGATCACCTGAGGTTGGAAGTTCAAGACCAGCCTGGCCAACATGGTGAAACCCCATCTCTACTAAAAATACAAAAATTAGCCAGGTATGGTGGTGCATGCCTGTAATCCCAGCTACTCGGGGCGGGGGTTGCTAAGGCAGGAGAATGATTTGAACCCAGGAGGCAGAGGTTGCGGTGAGCTGAGATCACGCTACTGCGTTCCATCCTGGGTGACAGAGTGCAACTCCAAAAAAAAAAAAAAAGAAAAAGAAAAAGAAAAAAGAAAGAAAGAAAAAAGTAAAGAAGAGGGCAAGAGAAAAGTCAGGAGTTGAGGGTGGTTAGACCACCAGGTGATGGCTCCGTCCTTTAACTCAGTAAGCCTTCCTTGAGCATGTGGGCCAGACACCATGGTAGGTACTGGGGACACTGGGGAAAATAGGCCGTCTTTGCTTTGAGTGTACTTGGAAACCTCAATAGAATATGGTATGTGCTCATGTAGAAAAGGTATATAGTCTGTGCATACACATAGGAAGGCACCTAACCCAGACTGGATGAGTTTCCAGAGTGGAAGAACCCAGCAGTAAGCTCTGAGACTTGAAGAGGAGGTGGGCTGGTCATGAATTGAGGGGAGGGACAGTCCAGGGACAGGAAATGGCATGTGCTCATTTGGTTTTGCTGATTATACCTGCACATAAAGGGCTTCATTTAACAACCTATGGAGGGTCCTTCTAGCTCTCTTCTCGTCAGTGATTTAATTTCTCTCCGTTTTTTTCCCTCAGATGCTAGTTTCATTAGCACATTCTAAATCCTAATAGACAATATGAATTTTAAGAACAACTCTTGTTGCAAAGTGCGCATATCAGTGACAACAAATTAGTCTGGTAATGGGTTAGATATAAAATCACCTTCTTCTGAAACAAGGAATTCATACCCCCAGATTGGCATATCAGATGATGAATTTGAGGGGTAAGGATAAGGGGTCAGGGTTCTGTGTGGGTTGATGCCACTTGGTGGGTACCTCCCATCTGGAGGCCTCACACTCATAATGACACCAGTAAGGTGAGGGGACATGAGAGGTGGGGCACCATTTTCCAGGATTGCAAAGGGACGGAGGTTTGCAGGTTCTTGTGAAGCCACAAGGGTGTGTGTGTGTGTGTGTGTGTGTGCGCGCGTGTGTGTGTGTTAACAGGAGTGAAAAGGCCACTAATTTCCAGAGAAAAATCTGAATGTGGAAATTTTGGTTCCAGCCACAAAGAATTTGTGTGCCAGCGTCACACGGAACACATATCAGCATCCGGTGCTTTATCTGACTCACAGGGGCTCCCTCTTGCAGTGCTCTATGGAGGTCAGGTCTATTGTCTGACTCCCTTTCCAACAGGAAAGTGAAAGCTCCACAAGTAAACTTGGTTTGCAGAATCCAGGTGAAACCCTTCTCCTAGACACTTGCTGTTTGTTACTTTCCTCACATTCTCACAGAAGCCCCGGAAGGTTCTCTTGGGCTCTGAGGATGGCAGAGCCAAAAGGTGGGTCTGTTGTGTTGAGTGCTCATGTTTAGAAATTCTGGCCTTCCATATGAATGTCACAGGTATCCACAAGTGAGAGAACACACTAAAACAAACATACAAACCCTGGAAAATAGAGGGATAAAAGCAAAGTATACGTAGTTTAAACAACCCTAAAAACAACAGAATTGTTTAGTTGAATAATCAGGGATATTGAAGGAAAAAGCAACCGGTGGTTTGAAACTTCCTAGCTGAATTTGTTTTTCTTTATCTTCTAAAAGTGTGTTGATATAGATAGGCAGCATCACAGAGGAAGAAAGCAAGGTGGGGCTGGGGAGTGGGTGAGTGCCTCAGTCCCTGTTTGCCTGTCTGGAGTGAAACTATGGGGGAAGCAGGACATGGAGGGACCTGACCCCACCCAAGGAGGCTGCCCATTTCCGGACACTCACCAGAGTCCCCTCATTGCCCTTTTACGGCCTTGCATTTCCGATATTGTCTGCCTGCTTTGCTCCTATCCGGATTTGTTTCTCAGTGGATCACCACTGCCTTTGGGCTGGATGTTGTTTTGACCGGAACGAGCTAGCTCTGGAAATGTAAAGCTCATTGTCTCAAGCATGGCACCTGCTGATCTCCTCTAGGTCTTCTCACCACGGAGCCCCAAGTGCCTTGTTTCCCCTGTTGGCAGTGGTGGGAGGAGCATGGGGACTGAAGGCTCCCTTTGTGTTGCTCTGGACTGTTTCTGTCACTCCCCCAGAGAAGCCAGCGCTAGGCCTGTGCAAGGTCCTCAGGGTCACTGAATGGGGCTGAACAAACACACCTCATTCGACCAAAGAAGATGAGGCACCTCCTGGGTTTCGGGGGCCTGGGAACTGGACACAGTGTCACAGCTAGTCCTGGTATGGGAACTGTGAACACTGCTAATTGAAATCAGTTTTTCCTGACCCTGAAAATCTGTAATTATTTTTGTGAAAGCTTAAAAAAATTATGTCTGTTGTACAACTTTATCTTCTCAGCAGTTACGTTTGATGGTGTGAGGATTTGGTTCCTGCTGTGGAGGAAGAAATAGGAGCCAGTTGCTTCTAAAGCCAGATGAGTAGTACAGGAGCAGCAGGCTCTCAGATCTGTGGTGGATTTGAGGCTAATCTGTTTGTGGCTTTTCAAGAGTCCCTGCCAAGGCAGGAGGTGCCTGTGCCCTGAATTGTGTGATCTTATCAGCTGGAGTCAGATCCAACTGTGCTGAATCTGGAACCTACTACTTTCTAGCTGTGTGAACTGGGGCAGTTCCTTAATGTCTCTGGTCCCTTCCATAAAATGGGAACAATAACGCCTGCTTCTCAGGTTAGTAAAAACAGTGAAATGATGTGTGAAAATTATTTAGCATAGGATCTGGCACATGGTAAGTGCTCAATAAATGGTTGCTATTATTATTGTTATTGTTGGTTAGCTGGTTAAAAGAATACCCAGAGAGCAGCTGGGTATTCTTCCAATCATGTCAATTTCCTTCTTTTTATTTTTATTTTTTGAGACGGACCTTTGCTCTGTCGCCCAGGCTAGAGTGCAGTGGCGCAATCTTGGCTCACTGCAACCTCTGCCACCTGGGTTCAAGCGATTCTCCTGCCTCAGGCTCCCGACTAGCTGGGATTACTGGCATGTGCCACCATGCCCGGCTAATTTTTGTATTTTTTGTAGAGATGGGGTTTCACCATATTGGGCAGGCTGGTCTCGAACTCCTGAGCCGTGAGCCACCGTGCCTGGCCAAGAAGGTCTTTAAGAACGTTTTTATTTTGGAAAATATCAGACCTATATAAAAGTAGAGGAATAGTATAATAAACCCCTGTGAACCCAACCTCCTCAACAGTGATCAACTCATGGCTGTAATATATGCTTCATCTTTCCACTTCTCCATTTCTTCCAGTCTTCAGATTTTTAAAAGGAAATCTTAGATAGCATATCAAGAAAGATTTTTTTCGCTATTACTAATGTAAGAAGTCAGAATAATTTAAATGATTTTAATGAAAATTTTGCTTTGTGCTAGAAATGATGCTTTTAAAAGTTCTTTCAGGGCTGGACGTGGTGGCTCACACCTGTAATCACAGCACTTTGGGAGGCTGAGGTGGGTGGATCACCTGAGGTTGGGAGTTCGAAACCAGCCTGACCAACATGGAGAAACCCTGTCTCTACTTAAAATATAAAATTAGCAGGGCATGGTGGCACACGCCTGTAATCCCTGCTACTTGGGAGGCTGAGGCAGGAGAATCACTTGAACCCAGGAGGCAGAGGTTGTGGTGAGCCGAGATCGCACCATTGCACTCCAGCCTGGGCAACGAGAGCAAAAATCCATCTCAAAAAAACAAAAAACAAAAAAACCAACCAAAACTACAAAAATTAGCCAGGTGTGGCAGGTGCCTGTAATCCCAGCTACGCAGGAGGCTGAGGCACGAGGATTGCTTGAACCCATGTGGCAGAGTTTGCAGTGAGCTGAGATCATGCCACTGCACTCCAGCCTGGGCGACAGAGTGAGACTGTCTCAAAAAAAAAAAAAAAAAAGAAAAAGTCCTTTCAGTGGGAAGTGACAAAGCTTGAAAAAAGGTTCACTGGGGCCAGGCATGGTGGTTCACGCCTGTAATCTAGCACTTTGGAAGGCAGACGCGGGCAGATTGCTTGAGCCCAGGAGTTCGAAACCAGCCTGGCCAACATGGCAAAACCCCATCCCTACTAAAAATACAAAAGTTAGGCCAGCCTGGTGGTGTGCACCTGTGATTCCAGCTACTTGGGAGGCTGAGGATTGATGCTCGGGAGAATGAGTCTGCAGTGAGTCGAGATTGCACCACTGCCCTCCAGCCTGGGTGACAGATATCCTATCAAAAAAAAAAAAAAAAAGATTTATTGGAAGGAGGAAGAAATGTCAGTGTCTACTGATCTTGTCTTTCTCTGCCTCTTTGTCTGTCTGTCTGTCTCTCTTTCTCTCAGTTGTTACCTCCAACGTCAAACATACCTGTATTGATTTTATTTAACTTCATGTTTATTTAACTCCATGTGTTACCATGTGTCATCTCATCTTTAAAGAGATTAAAAGCCACACTTACATTTCATTGCTTTAAAATGGACTTCTCAAATATTTTCTGTTTGGTCACATCACCATCATTCTTAGTTTTTAACAAGGCATATCTTATCAATTAAAGAATGTATTGTGTTGCATTATTTGAAACTTGTTCTCAAAAGGGGCAAACAATTTTATTCTTTGAAGAGCAAGGAATTCTGCTTATGAGAGGACCAGGTTTAGATATATCTGTCTTTACATAGTGAAGCTTTCTTTTCCCTTCCCTTTCTCTCCCTTCTCTTCCCCCTTCTCCTCCTTCTCATTTTTAGCTAAGAATATACCTCAGTTTTACTTTCTGTTTTCCAACAACAAATGGTACCCCCCACCACCTTGTGTAGTTAGCTGTTGCATCTTCTGAAGGTAAAAAAGGAGAAAAACTGAAAAATCTGAGTGCTAAAATTACTCTGTCTTGTTTTTAGAGACTTAATTTAAAAATAAACTCTGATGATATAAAAAGAAAAAGAACAAAAATTCCCTTTGTCTGTCTTCAATTTTCTTGACCTTACAGGTAACTGACTTTCTAGAAAAACACTTTCTTTATTTTTCCCAAATAACAGAGAGAACCATTCCAAACTCATCTTTTTGGGTTTGCGAATAAAATTAAAACTATCAGGCCTTCTGTGTCTTTAAGAAAGGCAATTATTTTTGGCCAGTTATATTACTATTTCACATTTTTAAAAGTTAAGTAATGATTTGTCTTGAATTTTTAACTTTACTGGTCAAAACATATCTCTTTCTCTCTTGAAACCATTGCTGAAATTGAGTAAATTCTCCTTTTTTAGTTTTTAAACATTTCTCATTTTGGGTTCAATTGAAGGTCACTGTTTTCAGTGAGCCTCTCATTTCCTTTCATGTTGTGTGGCAGTCTGTCATTTTTTAGTGGTTTTGATGTGGTTCATCTTTGAGAGCCACAGGAATTCCACCCAGGGTTCATTTGTCTCCTAGGAAGTAAAGAGCCTGCTGGCACTCATTTGCCTTGTTTTGTGTGAATTGTAAGAGAAGGAAATCTTTAATGAGGTCAGTGATGAGCTTGCGACTTTAAGTGTGTTAAAGTCACAATAAGATTTTATGACTTTGGGTGTCAGTTTTGGTATGTATGAAGTAAAATGTAGAATTGAAATGAGACTACTTCTCATCTATCCATCCATTCGTTCCCCCGTTCACTCATCCATTCCTATGGAGGTTCATTGTATGAAATATTTAGACCTTTTTCTGATTTTTCCCTTTTTCTAATGATTTATATTGGAATAAAACCTAACAAAATCCCTAAAATACTCAAAACCAAGACTGATGGTTACTTTTGGGATATTGAGTCTGTTATTTCCCTGTGTGAAGATAATCTTGTTTTATGATTTGCTTAAGGGAACAATGAAATGAATTTAGAGGCAGTTTCTTGTCTTATTCTATAAAATCTCAGTGTGAAAGTTAGGTTAACAATAGATGTGGGGAATGCTTTCCTGCATGTGTGTGCACATGTGCTGTATGTGTAAATACAAAGTATAGTTGAAAAATATAAAACTTGATTTGAACCCTGAGTTGTTTTGAAACCAGTTAATTGTTTATAGGAAAGATCGGTTAGATTGAACCATATCAGTTGTTTGGGAATTAGAACTTTTTTCTCTACAGAATTCAGCTTTTCACTCCCCTTCTTTTTCCTCTAAACAAGCCTGGGTGTTTGGAAGCCTTTGCTAGGTTGCTGTTTTTTGCCCACAGCAGAACGAATGCCCACTTTTGAGGTTTAGGGCTGTGTAAGTAGATTGTGTATTGCTACGGAAAATCTACAGTAGTTCTCTCTGGCTGAAACACTCCAGAAGAGGATTTTAGTCCCTTTTGCTGACAGAGAAAAAGGTTTTTCTCTGTGTCTTGCTGAAAGTAGAGACTCTGATAATAGCCAAGCAATTCTCCAAGAGTGCCTGATTTGGAGTTCACGCCAGAGAAGAGAAAGAAAAAGACTTTCCCCTGCATCTGAGGTTTCCAAAGTCCTGAGCTAGAAAGGGAGGTTTCACGTACACACTGCTTTTCTTGAACATTCTAGTCACAGAAGGAAAATACATCTTCTCATGGTATCTCATATGAAAATATTACAGAAGCTGGCATGACTGTGCTTACTTTTTAAGAAAAAGGAAGCATTAGCATATGGATAGATTTTAGCTTCTTCTTTTTCTCTTTTTTTTTTTTTGACACAGAATCTTGCTTTGTTGCCCAGGCTGGAGTGCAGTGGCAAGATCTCCGCTCACTGCATGCAACCTCTGCCTTCTGGGTTCAAGCAATTCTCCCTGCCTCAGCCTCCTGAGTAGCTGGGATTACAGTCACCCACCATCCATGCCTGGCTAATTTTTGTATTTTTTTGTAGAGATGGGGTTTTGCCATGTTGGCCAGGCTGATCTTGAACTCCTGACCTCAGGTGATTCGCCCACCTTGGCCTCCCAAAGTGCTGGGATTAAAGGTGTGAGCCACCATGCCTGGCCAATTTTAGCTTCTTAGATAATCTATAAATAATTAATGGAGTGAATTTGGGCTGTTAGAAAGCCAATCTGGGCAATTCATAGCTTTTCAAATTAACTCTCTTCCTTCTGATTTCCTCTTGAGATCTATTCTTTTTAAGGATAGAAATCATATCTTCCTACATATATCTATACCCAGCTTGTGGGGGTGGGCTTAATCTATTGTCAATAAAAATCTATGTTACAAGCAACACAAATGCGATGAGATTGTTTAAAAGGTCTTTCAAAATGGGTAAGACCAATCTTTTTTCCATTTAGAACTAATATACAAGGCTGTTAGATTTGATTGCTTATGTTAAGTTATATTTCTTCTCTGTGGGCATAGAGAGTAAGTTAGAAAATCACTTACTATGAGTAGAAATCAGAAAAAAGCTTGCTGAGTTGAAAGTGATAACGGTACCCCTGGTGGCAAACATCAGACTGGCAGTGCAGTATCTGTCTTGAATTTGTTGATGGAAACCTCATTGTTATTATTATTGTTATTATTATTTTTCTGTCTGCCAACTTTAATGTGCCATCTCAACTTAAAGAGGTTTGGAGTTACTTTGTTTAGAGCTGTGTTGTTCGGTACAGTAGCCACTAGCTACATGTGGCCATTTAAATTAAAATTAATGAAAATTCAAAATTCAGTTCTTCATCTCACTAGCCTCATGGCAAATGATCAATGGTCCCACATAACTTGTGGCCACTCCATTTGACAGTGCTGGTCTAGAGATTTGAAAAAAGTAAAAAAAAGTCTTTATAGCCTCTTGCCTGCCCATGTTTTGTTACTTTGCTTATAAAGAGGTGAAAAACTACATGATATATAAGCTATTTCTTATTTTACTCTATAAAATCAAAACCAAAATGAAGATTAGATTGATTGGTGCAAGACCATAAGTAAAGTTCTACCATTTTGACCCTTGAATGGGTGAGTTTTTCTACTCCAAGGACTGTTCATTTGTGTGTTGGGATTTTGTGATTGTGAACAGTGTAATAAAAACTTGAACCTTTATCTGGTACTCCGTTTTCATCTAGCAACATTCACCACAGCAAGAGAAATTTCATACCTTCTCCAGATCTTTGTAATGTGAATTGACCAAACTGAGAAAATAGAGTGGAAAATTGAGGTGGCTGCCATCTTGTTTCTCATATTTGAATAGCTCAGATCATTCAGCCATTCAACTGGTCTACATTGAGCACATACTATTTGCCTTGTACCAAGGTAGACATAGGTAAGACATGGACCCTACCTTCAAAGAACTCAGAGCTTAGAATGATGCATAGACATGTAAAGGGGTAATTATAATACAATTAAGTAAGAATACTAATTTTAGAATTATAACTGTAGATATGAAGTGTTGATATACAAGTAAATACAAATAAATATTTTTTGGACTTAAATGGTTTATTTCTAGGTTTTTACACTGGAATTGTTTTGTCTCTGTTACCTGCTGAAAAAAATAAGGACCCAGCAGTCTACTTCTTCTACAGATGCCAACTGCTACATATTGGTTCAGTGTTGAGGGAGCAGAACTGTGTGTATGGAGCTTTTTGGAGCTGGTTGGAAGCCACAAGTGTGTGTATGTGGAGTGAGTGGGCCTGCCCAAGTGCTTGGTGTGTGATGGTTGCGCCCAGTCACCGCCTCTCCATGTCTCTCCAGCTCTCTGCGCCCTTGTTGCCACCATCTGGTTCCCTGTGTGCGCCCACCGTGAGACCACCATCGTGAGCTTTGGCTACTCCCTGTATGCAGGCTGGATTGGTGCTGTGCTGTGCCTCGTGGGTGGCTGTGTCATCCTCTGCTGCGCTGGAGATGCCCAGGCCTTTGGTGAAAACCGTTTCTACTACACTGCGGGCTCTAGCTCCCCGACTCATGCGAAGAGTGCCCACGTATAAGAGGGCTGCCCGGCTGCCCACAGAGGTGCTGTAGATGCTGGGCCCAGGGCCCTAGGTTTGCTCGTCACAGTGTGGGGAAGCCCATTCCTCTGCCAGGCTCTAAAGCCAAAGGTCTAGAAAAGCATCCTGTCTGGCATTTTGTAGTCTTAACTTCTCCCCATTTCCCCCATCTTTTGGTTGCCTTAAAAGAAATCTCTAGCTCAGATAATGCCCAGACATTTTTTTCCCTTGGTGTTGCCCCTATTAGCTCTTTTCTTGGGCATTCTTTTGCTGTTTATTAAAAATATATTATATATATTTTGTTTCTTTAAATTTCAAATGTTTTGCAAACATCACTGAGTTAGGTGGGGGTGGGGAAGAGAAATACAAGATACTTTTTTTTTTTTTTTTTTTTTTTTTTTTTTAAATAGGGCCTCACTCTGTTGCTCAGGCTGGAGTGCGGTGGTGTGATCTCGGCTCATGTAGCCTCAACCTCCCCGGCTCAAGTGATCCTCCTGCCTCAGCCTCCCAAGTAGCTGGGACTACAGGCGTTCACTACTACACCCAGCTAATTTTTAAGTTTTTTATAGAGATGAGGGCTCCCTATGTTGCCCAGGTTGGTCTCGAACTCCTGGACTCAAAGTATCCTCCCGCCTCGGCCTCCCAAAGTGTTGGGATTATAGGAGTGAGCCACCACACCGGCCAAGATGCTTTTCAAACTGATACAGATGACAATGGGAGCCTCATAAAGATGGCTTTTGTTTCTTCCCTTCAAGGTCATTTACTTGTACGAGACAGAAAAAGATAGCATTGGGGACATGGGATGGGGGAGGGAGGGCAATAGTGGAACGAACTTTCCATGGGAAACTTTCCCTTTTGTAAGTTGAGGGCCAGGGGTAGGGATATTTTTTAGTTTGTGATTTTACATTTATCTGTACATACTTTTTCAAGATTGATCATTTTTATAACCATGGTTTTCCTGAAATCCTCAATTCATCAATATGAAGGAAATGAACCACATAGACTTTATGCAATAAATAACAGTGCAAGTGAGTATAACTCTAACTGATGTTCCACAAAACATTTTTGATTTCAGGTTTGTATGATGTAGTTTTTAATCGTACATTTTCATATGCTTCAAACTAACACATTTTTAAAGCTTTCCCCCACTTTTCTCTCTATTTGTATTGTTAGCCATCTTGAAGTGATGTTGTTTAACATAAATTGTACTGTTGAATTTGGCTTTACGGGTGTAAACACTGATGGTATATCAGTATCTGAGACCCCAAACTCTCCAAATACTGATGGTGCATTTTATTCTTGAAGTGAAATCTGTGCAATAAAATAACAGACTGTCTGCAAAACTGGCCTTCAATCTTCTGTTGTATCCAGAGGTATCATTATTGATTTAAAAAAATCTCATTAATCTCTACTGGTAATTTATAGGGAATCTGATCAGTGATTCAAGAACAAGTAATTCTGCATTGCCTTGAATAATTAAAAAGTTATATTTTATTCACGGTATTGCAGTGGTAATTTGTGGTCATGAAAGCATAACCTCAGTGCTCTCTAGGTTTCTTAAGTGGGGTGACTTTATGGCATCTTTAATCATCGATCAATGGGCAGCAATCAGAAACAAAGTTCTCAGCATTATGCAGTTAATGTCCTTCATCTACTTCTAACACTTAGTAAAGGAATTGATTGGCTAGGTATAAAAAGAGAATTAACGAAACCTATTTTATTGGATCTTTAAGTAATAATATCTAAATACATTTCGTTCAAACATACATATGTAGCTGTTTGGACATTTTGGACAAAGACACATTGAGTTGATTTTTATTTGTTTTTCTGTTCCAGAAACTTCATCAAGTTACGGGCCTGGTCTAAGAAAACACATTGCAATCTATTTTGGCAGACTTCTTTCAAATAAAATACTAATTTCATTAGCTGATAGTATAGTAATTGGCAAACATTTCCTCTTTGGAAATACCAATTTGGGCTAGCCATTTTGCAGAAATTTGTGTAGTTTTGATTATAACCTGTTGGAGAGCATTTCTAAATTACTTATACATAAAAGATAATCTTTTTTTTGTTTGTTTTTTTGAGAAGAAGTCTCGGTCTGTTGCCCAGGCTGGAGAGCAGTGGTGCGATCTCGGCTCTCTGCAACCTCCGCCCCTTGGGTTCAAGCGATTCTTGTGCCTCAGCCTCCCAAGTAGCTGGGACTACAGGTATGTGCCACCACACCTGGCTAATTTTTGTATTTTTAGTGGAGACAGGGTTTTGCCATGTTGGCCGGGGTGGTCTGGAACTCCTGGCTTCAAGTGATCCTCCTGCATCAGCCTTCCGAAGTGTTGGAATTATAGGCGTGAGCCACCGTGCCTGGCCATAGAAGACAATTTTTATGTTAACTAAAATATTTGCTTAGCTATTATAATATAGCTTTTGTAAGGATAAAAGTCATGTGACTACATTGGAGGACTCTCCCTACCTCATTAAAAGTTGTCAAGGTATAACGATTATGAACCAGAAGGGAGCAAAAAGCGTTTGAGGGAGTGGACGAGGAGGCTTCAGACCCCATGATCCCTTTCCTCACAACCACCAGCTTGTGTCAGAAGTGTCATTAAGTGGGTCTCCTCTCTTATGGATGTATTGACTCGCCCGCTCCTTCCCTGAGCTGCTGCTTGTTTTCTCTCATAAGGGGGCTGCTGCATGAGCTCCACTTTTCCCTTCCGTGTAAGAAGAGAGACTCCCAAATCGCTCCTAGCTGACCATTCCCTGACTAATGAGGGAATCCCAATTTGGAGGTCATAACTCTAGTGTTAGGTTTAGTATCAGTTTGATGGAGGAGAGGTTGATGTGCCTCTAGAACAGTACTGTCCACTAGGAATACGATGTGAGCTGTTTAAAATTTTCCAGTAGCCACATTTCAAAAGCTAAAAATAAACAAGTGAAATTAATTTATTTTATTTGATCCAGTACATCCAAAATATTATCATTTCAATATGTAATCAATTGATGAGATATTTCACGCCCTTGTTTTTGTATTGTCTTTGGAAGAGCGTGTATTTTACACTTGCAGCACATTTCCATTTACACCAGCCACATTTCAAGTGTTCAGTAGCCACATGTGGCTGGAGGCTTTTGGATTGGACAGCACAACTGTGGAACAACAGGTTCTGTCTCAGTAACCATCGAGAGGATCAGTCTTGATTATCTTATCTGCTGTCATTAGAGTCCCCTGAGAACTTGGCAATTACAATTTATTGAAGAATTTTAATAAATCTTCACCTAGGTGAAGACAATGACCTCCAATCACGTGTAAAATGGCAGGCTTAAAGTACTCTGCGTAAGTAACATGGCAAAGGGAATTTACGCTGTTGAGACCTGTATGTGTTAGGAACGTCATACATTTAATCCTCCCCATGGTCCCCATTTTATAGATGAGGAAAATAGTATGTGGAGAGTTTAAGTTGTCAAGATCATATAGCCACTATATAAACAAAAAGGGATTTAAGACTATGTGACTCTAAAGCCCGAGTTGTCCAATTTAAGAATCATGGCTAGGGCCGGGCGCAGTGGCCCACACCTGTAATCCTAGCACTTTGGGAGGCCAAGTGGGGCAGGTTGCCTGAGCTCAGGAGTTCGAGACCAGCCTGGGCAACACGGTGAAACCCCGTCTATACTAAAGTACAGAAGAAATTAGCTGGGTGTGGCAGCTTGCACCTGTAGTCCCAGCTACTCGGGAGGCTGAGGCAGAAGAATTGCTTGAACCTGGGAGGCGGAGGTTGCAGTGAGCCGAGATCACGCCAGCGTACTCCAGCCTGGGCGACAGAGCAAGACTCCGTCTCTTCAAAAAAAAAAAAAAAAAAGAAAAAGAAAAAGGAAAAAAAAAAAGAATCATGGCTAGGTAATAAAGTAAACTGGAGATTCACTCTCTTCATTAGGGTGGGAGCCAAGAATGTGCATTGTTGTTGTGTATCCTCAGTGATTCTTATAAGGTGGTCCCCACACTACACTTTGAGAAACAGCAAATAAAAGGACTTCTTTCTCATGCCTTTCTGTAAGTGCGGCTCATGTCCTCCCTGGTCTCTTGTTTGATGGTCACTGGAGATGAGATGATTTTGAGAATCGCACCATGCTTTACTCTCTCTCTTTAGCCTGTTCTGAAGAGACCACATGCAGGGGATTTTTGATTTGAAAATGAAACAGTCTGGCTCATGTTTTCCAAGAATTTGATAGAAACCAAATTAGAGAGAAAAGAATGTTTCAAGGCAATCTCTGAATCTAAGGATGTTAGTTACAATGACAGTAATAAAAAAGAGAAGATTGTGTGCTTAAAGAATACAAGTTACATATTTGTGCTGAATTGGTGGTTTGGGTTAACAATAGAACAAGGTTTAGTTGTATCTTGCCCTGTTTTTTTTTTTTTTTTTTAAATTAAAAAGAAATCTGCGTGTCAGTGTTTCTCTATACAATGTACACAATGTGAACTGCAACATCTTAAATGTTTGGCAGGACATTCATGCTCATGACATCACATGCTGAGAGGACAGGGAGGCCAGTGTGGGGCTGGCCTCGAAGAGAGGCGGCATCAGTGCTACCATTGAGATGTCCCCACAAAAGAGTGTGTGACAGCCAGATGTGCAGCTTAATGGAGACTGAACCAGGATTGTGGGTGGAACATTGGCACATGCTGCTTATGGCTTGAATAGCAGCTCTTGAGGAATCTATATTTCTCTACCTCATGCAGAATCTTAGAGCTCTGGCTTTGTGGCTCCATGGCTGGGGGAGGGAGTGGAGACGGAGGAACTTGTCACTGCTCCATGCCCCATTGTTGAAATGGAAAATGTGGAAATGTTAAGCCGTTTCTAGAGGATTGTGGAAGGTAAGAATTGCTTCCAAATATAAAAATACAAATACAAAAGATCACCTGATCGTCACAGTTGGGGGCTTTCTTGAATAAAAATGGTTATATCTCTATTTCTCTTATGTTGAATTCTATAGCTATGCTTTTCAAACTGTAGTGTTGATACGGATCACTTGGGGATCTTGTTAAAATGCAGATTCCGATTCAGCAAGTGTGTGATAGGGCCTGAGGTTTGGCATTTCTGACCAGCTCTCGGGGGACGCTGAAGCTGATGGTCCCAGACTCACACCCTGAGTGCACAGACTCTGGAGTCTGCCTCCTGCGGAAGCACAGACGGGCTTTGTGCATAGACATGGTGACTGGCGCCTGTTTTTGTGGAAGACACTGGGAGTGGTTCTTTGCCCTTCAAAATAATTCTGGAGCCTCACTGGCCAATAATTCTGGTGTAGAATCATTCTTTTGACTTCAAGGTTTTGTTCCTTATTTAAATATAAACACCCAGTGGTACTCTTGAGCTAAGTACTGGCTCATTCACATTTTCAGGAAGTTTGCAAGCCAGTTGATGTCACGTTGGGAGCTTGATAGCAGCCATGGTGGGAGGGTCATTCCACAGAAATCACCAAACACTGCAAATCAGGCATTTCTCTCCCAGCTCCACCTTCCGGCCAGTTGCTAAACATTTACCAGGCCACCACTGCTCAGCTCTTGGAGAACAATACATTAAGCTATATCAGTCCTTGTCACTGTAATTGGGAAAGGCTCTATTCCTCCCCTTCCTGAGAAGAAGTTTCGATGAGGGAAGGTGGGTAGAGCTGGGAGCACATGAGGTGACTGAGGGGAAAGAGATGTGCCAGCTGCAGTCTCTTGGAGCTGTGTGTGCACTGGTCTCCTTGTCCTGAGTCTGAGGGTCTTGGTGGCCTGGCAGAGAAAGGGCTGCTTCCTCACCTTTTAGTCTGGTTCCTAGGCTTGGAGAGCAGTCGGTAAAACCGGCTTATATATCAAATACCATGGCTACCAGGTTGGTGCATAGGGCCATCCTGTCCTCTTTTGAACTCATATACTTGGGGCGTCACTCATCTGACTTCTAGAAGTTTCCTGGCAGATTTAGTTTTGAAAGGTCACTTTTTTTTCCTGATTGTAATAGTAATAATAATATAATGACTCATGTTTATTGAAAGCTTATTCTTTGCCAGACACAGTCCTAGTATTTTATATATACTGACACATTTAATCTCACAACAACCCTTATGAATTAGGGGCTATTGATATTTTCATTTTACAAAGAAGGAAATTAAGACAAAGGTGATTTCAAACTGGCTTAAATCACACAACTATTGAGTAATGTACATTTACAGAAAATTTGAACACTGTGGAAAAATACAAAATTAAATAAAAAATCACCCATCATTTCATCATTAATTTCTTTTGTATATATGTTTAGCCATCATTTTATTTTAAAATAAAAACTCTAACATACTCTACATATAAATTTGTTCCTGCTTTAAAAAAATACATACATTTTCTTGTGTCATTAAGTGGTTTTTCTATGAAAAGATCTTTAATATCTGCATAATATTCTATTGTTTGGATGTACTAACAATCTACATAATCTACTCAATGAATTCCGAAGAATGTCTTAGTTGTTTTGGTTTCTTTTAAATTTCTTCTAAGTAATTTTGCCATGAACATCCTTATAGGCAAATTTTTGCACATATCCATGATGATCTTTTTAAAGATAAATTCCTAGAAAGGAGTTGCTGGATCCTATATTCCAAGTAGTGTTTTAAAAACAGGTTTCTTTTTTTCTTTTTGGTAGGAGGGTGCCTAGTTTCTCCAGCACTAATAATAGAATGCAGTTTATCAATTTAATATGCTGTTCTTTTATAATTATTTGAAATATTCATTTTTTTCAGTTTTGTTGATGTGGAGTTATATAAACAAATACTTTTGATAAATAGCTAATTCAAACATTTCAAAATTATTGATGGAAGAGAATGTATGCAAATGGGATGCTGGAGGACTGAAGTTCTGCCCTATATTATAGTCCTGCTTTAGCTGACCAATGTCCACCGGGAGTGGAGTGTTTGTCTTCAGGAGACTTTGTGTGTGGGACACTCTGATTCCAGTAGCCCCTGTTTAGGGTGGGAAGCTCTGGGAGAATTGTAGGCTGAACCATTATTTTTATTTGTTCCCAGCATAGTATCTCAAACATAATCTACTGAGACCAAAACAAGGCAAGGTAAAAATGAATTACTTTCTCTTTTCCCAAGCCTTCTAGACGTTAATCTTGTGCTTATGATGGAAAGAAAATTTACCTGGCTTCATTTGCTGTCTGATTTTGCTTATTACTGTTTCAACAAAAGGTCGGGGAAAATGCACATCAAGGAGAGCTTCTAGAGGTGTGAGGGGCCCAGGACTGTTGGGGATGAGAGCCTCTGCACCGCAGGGCAGCCGAGGGCCTTGGGCCGTTCTCTTGGTTTTGAAGTAGCCTCCATGAGCAAGGAGAGCCTTCCCCTCACACAGTTAGGAAACACCACTCATTCATCCTAGTCCACAGGGTGGACCTGGGGGTGCAGCTCTTCCCTTCAATTCGGGGTTATGAGAGACCCCTCTTTCCTCACCATGGCCTTTCTCAAACCAGAACAAAGCTCAGATTTGCCTCAGTCATGGAGTATCTAAGCAAGATCTTGAGTCATTTCATTCATTATTTCTAAAATGTGGTATGGGGATCATCAGCATATGGCTCATTCAGTAAAATGGAGATACATGGGCTCTACTCCAGATGAATGGAGTAGGGATGCGCCCTGGGAATCGGCATTTTACATGACTCTCCAGGTGATTGAGGTGCTCTCTAAAGTTTGAGAACCATTGAAAAAGGTCCAATGAATATGGGCATTGGAACAGACCATTGCAGAAAGATGAGTCATATGAAGGAACTGGGAGCCAGAAAAGTAAAGGGATTTCCCCAAGGGTGTATTGCCAGGGTGTTATTTCCTATTACCTAGGGCTCTAAAATGAAGGGATTGTAGTGTTGGGGAGCTGCTCCTTTTTTGAACTAGCCATTCCATCAGAATGAGAGCTGCCTTTATCTTTTTTGGCCCATCCTTCTGGTTTTGGGGTGAGAGCCTAATTCAGGCTGGGCCAATCACAGTACATCACTGACCTGAGATAACTGGGATCAGCCCAGGAGGGCAGCTTTTCATCTAAATTGGACCAGCCAGAGCCCATTCTTTATTGGAGCCATGGGATACAGCACATTTCTCTGATAGCAAAACCGGAAAGATGTGAGTCTAGAAGCTCTTAGCAGCCGTCATTCCAGCTGTGTGGAAAGAGTGAGTCTGGGAAAATGAGGCCAAAATGCAGAGAGAAGTGGAGGCCAAAGAACAGAGAATTTCATGATATATGGGGGGCTTGATTCCATAGTTTCTGAGGCCAGCTTCATAAAAGCCCTTTGGTTACATAAACCAACACCCCCACCAATTCCTTTACTTTTCCTATTTGGGTTTTGTCAATTGCAACCAAAAGAATTCTGACTTGGCAGAGACTCTAGTCTTGATAGATATTCCTACAAAGTCCAAGTCCGTTTTTCCGTCTTCCTTTGGAGGATTTCACCTTTTCTTTCACCAGCCATGTGTTCTGAATGGGACCATGGCCTTCTTCCTTTGCCAGAACGTTAGGTCCAGAAGATGGGTGTGTGACCCAAGTCAGGCCAATCAAGTTCTCTCCTGGAACTTTTCAAACTGCAGTTGTGAGAGGACACCATTTTTCTCCATTTAGAAGAGCTTGCAGTATCCATGGTGTCCATAAGTCTTGTGAAGAAGCTTATCTGTAGGAAGGGAGAGGAAGCAGAAATGAGAGATGGGGAGCAGGGAGCCCAACAATGTTGAGGTGTCTCATTCTAGGTGACCCTGGAGGAGACAGCGACATGGTTTTTGGTCAAAGCAAGTATGAAGTGAGTCACTGTCACTTTCAATCAAAAAAGTCCACGTGGATAGCGGGCTTCCTGAACCAATTGGCTTAGACCTTAAGCCTGAGGAGGTCTCATATGTGGGCTGCTGCTTGTAAATTTATGCAAGGAAAAAGGGTGAGGTTTTATCACTAACATTTATCCTGACTTAAACCCACAGACACCTTCCTCACCCACCTCCACCACACCTCTACTCCCCCCGCACCTCTATTCCCTATACTAGCTGGCTAAATCAGAGTTCAGGAAAAAAGCAACCACCTGAGGATTTCAGAGGGAATTTAATACAGGGAATTGGTTGTAGATAATGGAACAGCAGAGAAGTCAAGCAGAATGATGAGGTAACTCATAGCTGGAAGCCACTAACAGGGGATGAAGAGGCAATAGGAGGAGGCTGTGACTAGAACCCAGAGGCTAGGGCCACCTAGGGGGAGCTGGGACCATGGTGGGACTGCCTCTTGAGGGCTAAGACCACAGAGGGAAGGGGCCTTGTAGGATCTGGGACCAGGGAGGTGACTCAGTCCCTGCTAAATACATCACCGAAGCAGAGCAAAAGAGGGAAAAATACCGCGGTTTCTCCCCTTCTCCTGCCCTCCAGTCATCTGCCTGTGCCTCTCTTAGGTTGACCTACCCAGTCAGAAGTCCAGGGAGCCTGGGAAATGTAGACTGAGGATGGGCCAGACAATGGCTCTCAGAGCACATGCATAGTTAAGCCTGAATATGGCAGAAATAGATCAAGGATTAGGGAGCCTCAAAATCTGGAAGCTGCTCAGACCTCATGGGGCAGGGTGAGGGCCACTCTCTGAGTGCCTGCCAGTAAATACTTCACAAATGAGTTCTGGGCTTGCTTAGGACATCGATTCAAAACCGATTCCCAAATCTACCTTCCCCGTTGGAACTGGTCATGCTTTGGTAGCACATAGAAGGTCCTACAATACTACTGCTCAGGTTCAGGGATGACTTTGCTTCTCTTCCTCTGCTTGCTCCTTGGAACCCAAGCCAGATCCTGGTTCTGAACTACCTACTTTCCCATTGATGCTACCGTGATCGTGCACTCTGGAGCTTCTCCCCTCTCCATTCTTGCTGTCTCTGTATCTCCTCAAGACCGCACCATCTCCTTCCTGGATGCCTCCTGTCTCTCCTCCTTCGAGTCTAGCTTCCCCTTTGTCAATATCAAGATCTCAACAGGTGCTTCCCTGGCTTGTCATCCTTTGAGTTCCCCCTTTCCCCGCTTCTCAAAATGCAACTGCCTTAGCTTGGCATGCAAGGCCCTTCAGAAACCTTCCTGGCCTTTATTAAAAATATTCACATAAGGGTCTTTGATTATGAGCAAGAGAAACAGACTCTGGATAGATGAAACAAAAGAGGGATTTTTTGGGGGGGAGGGGGAGTTTGGAAAACAGGGTTTTGGGGGAAGAAAATTTAGTTTTTCAGAAAAACCAAACTCAGGGAAGGGCAAGCAAAAAGTAGACAGTTTTGCAAGGGTTCTGTTGCTAGGATGAAGGAACTCCAGCTGTGTTCAGTCTTTTTGTCACTTGGTTTAAGATTAAAATACCAGAAGGTAGCATCTGATTGGCTTAGAAAAGTCATGTGCCTGCCCCTGAGCCAATCACTGTATGTAGCTAGGGAAATTGGGCCAGGCCTAGGTCCTATGCTCCATATATATTTTTTTCCCTGGGGGTTGGTGGGGGTGAAAAAGAGGAGGGTTTCCCCAAAGAAATTAAGGTGCTTAGGGGACATGAAAGGATCCAAGGTGTTACCTTGGATGTGTTCATGTGTTCATGTGTTCATGTCTATTACATTTACCAATATCCCAAAGTATGATTCAATCATTCTTATTGTCTCCTCCCTGCCCCTTGCCCCATAATCTCATCAAGATGGTCTTTGGGAGAGAATCAATCATCACTAAACAAGAGACTCTTTATAAGAACAATATCCTGGAGAATTAATTATTGTAAATTTTGAGCTCTTTCCCTAAAACTATTTATATTTTCAGTAAATCTAAAAAGCTTTTATTAATGAAAAATCTCCCCTCATTCTGCCTTCTGTTCAGAATGGAACAGAATTCTGAATAAGCAGGCCTTCAGGGTATGAGGCTAGATACATAATTCATGGCTGCACTGTGTTTTCACATCTGGGCTTCCTTAGAGCTTATTGATATTTTATTAAGACTGAAACATTTTTGTATTATTTAAAAATTCACAAACTCTTAAAACTTTATCTTAAAATGAGTTTTATGAGTGTCTGCTAAAATCATATTATTTATTCATTCATTCATTTGTTAATTGGTTAACTAATCACGCAAACATTTAATGAGCACTTGTTATGTGCCAGCCATGCATTAGCCACCAGATATAAAAAGGAAGCACAGAGACAGTACCAGGCTCAAATAACTCAGAGTCTAGTGGCAAAGTCAGGCATGTCATGAATAATAATGATATTAGTTTATTATCATTGTCATCTTTAATGTACTTTGAAAAGTTACACCTGAAATGATTTAATTTTTTTTTTTTAGACAGGGTCTCACTCTGTTGCTCAGGCTGCAATGCAGTGGCGTGATCTTGGCTTATGGAAACCTCCGCCTTCTGGGCTCAAATGATTCTCGTGCCTCCACCTCCTGAGTAGCTGGGATTACAGGCGTGAGCCACCACACCAGGCTAATTTTTGTGGTTTTAGTAGAGAGGAGGTTTTGCAATGTTGGCCAGGCTGGTCTCAAGCTCCTGGCCTCAAGTGATCCACTCATCTCCCCCTCCCCAAGTGCTGGGATTACAGGCATGAGCCACCATGCCCGGCCCTGGCTGAGAGGGGAAAATAAAATACCAACGGACGCGCATCATTGCACAGATTAAATATAAGAGGCTAAAGAATATTGGATGTGGCCAGGCGTGGTGGCACGTGCCTGTAATCCCAGCACTTTGGGAGCCCGAGGCAGGCGGATCATGAGGTCAGGAGATCGAGACCATCCTGGCCAACATGGTGAAACCTGTCTCTCCTAAAAATACAAAAATTGGCTGGGCTTGGTGGTGCGTGCCTGTAATCCCAGCTACTCGGGAGGCTGAGGCAGGAGACTCTCTTGAACCAGGGAGTCAGAAGTTGCAGTGAGGTGAGATGGTGCCACGGCATTCCAGCCTGGCAACAGAGCGAGACTCCGTCTCAAAAAAAAAAAAATTTGATGTATAAATGCATATTGACTTCAACTACGTCTTCCCCCAAGGTTGTACCTTTTTTGTGGGCGTGGAAAGTCAGCCAATTCTGAAACTTCCTAAAGTTTATTGACTTAATTATGAGCAAAAACAGTGAGATACTGGCAGAGAAGTGCCATCTTCAGGTTTCTGTGGGATGTCCTGCTGAGACCTGTGGAGGAGCATGCTGTTTCTTCTTAGAGCTGGAACTTAGTTGAAGGCATCACTCTTTTGCTTGTCAGAATAATTAAAAAACTCTCCAGGTGTCGGAGCTCAGCTTCTACTGTGTCAAGTGCAGCAAAAACGTAGCTGACTTAGTTGCCACTGGCATGTACATAAAATGCACGGCCAGGTAGTTTAGCAGAGCAGAGTGGAGAATCGAAGCAATGATCCTCATGCATATGTTACACATATTTTCTCTGCTTCCTTGCATGCTCCATTGTCCCATCAGACTTCACTTAAAAAATACCAGTTCAGGCCAGGCACGGTGGCTCATGCCTGTAATCCCAGCACTTTGGGAGGCCGAGGTGGGTGGATCACCTGAGGTCAGGAGTTCGAGGCCAGCCTGGGCCAACATGGTGAAACCCCATCTCTACTAAAAATACAAAAATTAGCCTGGCGTAGTGGTGCGTGCCTGTAATCCCAGCTACTTGGGAGGCTGAGGCAGGAGAATCACTTGAACCTGGGAGGCGGAGGTTGCAGTGAGCCGAGTTCTTGCAGTTGCACTCCAGCCTGGGTGACAGAGAAAGACTCTGTCCCCCTCACCAAAAAAACAAAACACCAGTTCAATGACCAAATTATTAAGAATTTCAAGATGTTGACAGCCGAGCATTAAACCAAGTGCTGGGTCCTTCTGCTTGCAGGGCCTGTAAGATCGCACAGGTTGCATGTCCATGAAGCCGGTCCTGGCCTTTATTCTATCAGGCTGGGAGCCTAGGTAAAATTTTGATTAAGTCTGTAAGAATAAGACAATAGATCTTGGGGGAAACTTGTAGCCTAAGTCACACTTTCTAACAATTCTATAAGGAAGGTATCATCTCCTTTTTCCATGTTAAGAGACTGGGCTTCAGGGAGATGAGGTAACGAGCCAAGATTACAGAGCTAGCAAGTATCAAGGTCAATATTTGAACCCATATCTTCTAAAGTTAAGGCCAGTTCTCTTACTGCTGCGGTATGCTTAGCGTTTATGAAATGAAACTGAATTATGTTTAATAAAATACAGTGAGATGAGAATGTAAAAAACACACATCTTTCTCATAGGATATTAAAGAAACACAATTTTATTTAAAACAATAACGATACAACACACATGTATTAATTAACTTAATTATTGCAACAGTCCCATGAGTTAGAGGCTGTTAACATACTCATTTTATAGATGAGAAAACAGAGGCATGGAGAAGTTAAGTAAATTGCCTAAGGTTCCACAGCCAGGATTATAAACTTTGCGGTCTGAATGTAAAGCCTGAGGTAGTAACCGCTACTCTAGCCTTCAAGTGCAACTTACTCCCTAAGAAAGTGGAATGAGGCGTGGTAGCGGGCGCCTGTAGTCCCAGCTACTCCAGAGGCTGAGGCCGGAGAATGGCGTGAACCCGGGAGGCGGAGCTTGCAGTGAGCCGAGATCGCGCCACTGCACTCCAGTCTGGGCGACAGAGTGAGACTCCGTCTCAAAAAAAAAAAAAAAAAAAAAAGTGGATTGAAGGCCAGAGATGCAGTGGCTCATGCCTGTAATCCCAGCACTTTGGGAGGCTGAGGTAGGAGGATTTCTTGAGCCCAGGAGTTCAAGACTAGCCTGGGCAACATGGAGAAACCCTGTCTCTAGAAAAAATATGAAGATTAGCCTGGCGTGTTGGCGCACACCTATAGTCTCAGCTACCCAGGAGTCTGAGGTGGGAGGATTGCTTGAGCCTGGGAGGTCAAGGCTGCAACAGTGAGCCTTGATGGCACCACTGCACTCCACCCAGGGTGACAGAATGAGACTCTGTTAAAAAAAAAAAAAAAAAAAGAGAATGGAAAGCCTTTTTTTTCTTCAGTTTTAGAGTTTTATTCCATTAAATGGGAAAAGTTCATTGCTTAATGTATATTTTAACTACCTTAGACTATTGTTCTAATTTTTGAAATTAGAATAAAAATAAAATTTTACTCTTGAAAGAGACTTCATTCACTTATTTATTTATTTTTTTAAGGACAAAAAACCAAACACCGCATGTTCTCACTCATGAGTGGGAATTGAACAATGAGAACACATGGACACAAGAAGGGGAACATCACACACCGGGGCCTGTTGGGGGGTTGGGGGAGGGGGGAGGGATAGCTCTAGGAGATATACCTAATGCTAAATGACGAGTTAATGGGTGCAGCACACCAACATGGCACATGTATACATATGTAACAAACCTGCACCTTGTGCACATGTACCCTAAAACTTAAAGTATAATTAAAAATAAAAAAATAAAAAAGGAGAGCCATTTTAATAAAAGGACAGTTTCAGACTTAGTATAAGATTTTTTGGGCCAGGAGCAGTGGCTCACATCTGTAATCCCAGCACTTCGGGAGGCTGAGGCAGGTGGATCACTTGAGGTCAGGAGTTCGAGACCAACTTGACCAACATGGTGAAATCCAGTCTCTACTAAAAATACAAAAAATTAGCCGGGCGTAGTTGTGGGTGCCTGTAATCCCAGCTACTTGGGAGGCTGAGGCAGGAGAATCACTTGAACCTGGGGGGCGAATGTTGCAGTGAGCCAAGATCATGCCACTGCACTACAGCCTTGGCGACAGAGCCAGACTGTCTCAAAAAAAGAAAGAAAGAAAAAAAAAGGGCCGGGCACGGTGGCTCACACCTGTAATCCCAGCACTTTGGGAGGCCGCGGTGGGTGGATCACCTGAGGTCAGGAGTGGAGATCAGCCTGGCCAATGTGGCAAAACCCCGTCTCTACTAAAAATACAAAAAGTAGCTGAGTGTGGTGGTGCATGCCTGTGATCCCAGCTACTTGGGAGGCAGAGACAGGAGGATCCCTTGAACCGGGAGGCAGAAGTTGCAGTGATCCAAGATTGTGCCACTGCACTCCAGCCTGGATGACAGAGTGAGACTCCATCTCAAAAAAAAGATTTTTTAACACAAATACTTTCCCAGTTAAAAATGTTAGTTTAGGGGTAGGGTTAAATTATAGACCTGTTGGTTTTTCAAAACAGATTTTCTTAGAAAATAATCCTTTGTCTGTAGTCAATTGGAAAATAAAAGGAACTCAAGCTTCTCTATGGTATAGGGGCTCTTGGATATTTGTATCTCTGGAAAGAGGAAATATAGACTCATATTCTCTACCACGTCACAAACAGATTTTCAGGAAATAAGGGGAATTCTCTATGGAAGGAAATAAACTCTCTCGTAGGCCTTGAGGTCCTAATTAATGACAGGGATGTATGCAGAAAGTAAAGGCACACACAAATACTTTTTGGTAGGTGTGGTTCACTGGGGGCAGCACTTGTTAGCAAGTCCCAGTGTTGTTAAGGCAAGGGAATGGACAGTGTTCAGGCTATAGATTTGGTTGGCAAACGAAATGCCAAAACGAGTGGGTATGCTCTGTTTTCAGCAAAGAAATCACTGGGCTGGAAAACCCTCAAAATATCAATCATACAACAAGACCTCTTTAGGAAAACAATATTAGGATTTTTGCACATAGCCCTTTTGAAGTTAACCAGTTTTGGCTTAAAACTTGAAAATAAAACAAGAGTGCACACTAGATCAAGAGGTCTTTTTAAGCCACTTTTGATCCTGGAAGACCCCTAGAGAGAAGACAGAGCCTTGGTATTGTTAAAAAAAAAATTGGCCTCAGGATGGAAAAGAAAGAGAGCCAGGATTCTGATTTCTCAGTCCTGTACTTTCCCTCCAAGGGAGGGTGCTGGGCCAAGCTGTGGCTGGGAGGCCATCAAAGACTCCTTCTGTGTATTAAGATTTGGAATTTATTTCTGATGTCATGATAAGGACAAAAGAATCTTGCACTGTGTCAGGCTGGGGTAGCTGCTGTGCTCCTGATGGGGAGAAGGATTGGGTAAGTGTCCTCCTGGAGGGCCACCTCCAAAGCCAGGCGTTGTCTCCGGAACAAATCCAACTTTCACTTCGTAGCCTGTTAGAGAGTTTTTCCCCATGAATACCTCTGAACCCTCCTTGAACCCCATAATGTTTCAGCTAGCAATGTCACTTGAAGTTAACAAGTTCCATATGTTTGCCCCCACCACAGTGAAAGTTGTTTTTCCTTTTATTTCTTCTCCAATTGTCTCCTGTCCCTTTGCCCCATCCATAGTTCATTTGGTTGCCATCAAATTTGCTCTCCTCGTCTCATTAGGTCATTAAATGAATTCCAGCACCTGAAAAGAGCAGTTTTTAAGATTCAAGTTTTGCTGAAGAATTGAGGTAAAATATTTTGTGGGCAACTGAAGATATGGGTACAGCAATAAGTGCATTAGCTTCACGTGCATCCGCCTTCTAACCTGTTAAGCGGAAACAAAAGTTCCACGGGATGCGTGAGAAGAAAACAAAACATGTTTCAATCTCATTTTCAAACACTAAATTGCTATATAATGATAAGTGATAAAAATGCCTCTAATTTCCATCTATTTTTTTTTTCAATAACCAGCTGGGCATTTTTTAGAAACTTAGAATTCATCCTATTATGAATTCAAATTAGTGTGTTCTTAGGAAAGATACTAGAATGTGCCTTTGTTCTGTCAAATGAATTTATTTTTTAATGATCAGATCTTGAGAGTTTGCTAGAAAATGCCACTAAACTTCAAGATATAATTCTTCTCTAATATACTTTCTTATATGGATAGATAATTCCACATTTTTGTCTTTTAACCAGTGGTGTAGCTTAAATATTAGGCCACCGAAATTTTTAGAGAGGATTTCTCTCTGTTTGATTATTATAAAAAAACAGACCATGGCCTCCCAACAGTTTCTTTTTCTCTTCCCGTCCCCCCCTTTTTATATCTTTCTTCACATTTTATGTATAGGACTCATGCCATTTTTTATATCTATACTATTAGATCTTATAAGAAGATTCTCATTCTGCAAACTTTTATTAACTACCTCCTCTGGCAATAAATGTCCATACTTATGTTTATTTAATTGTATAAAGATGTGCAGCTGTAATAATGTATCATGTACAGCATAAAATGTACACAAAAAGTTAAATAATAGGAAAAAATGAAATAACATTTTAATTTTATTTCATATTATTTATTAATGATACAAGCTTTTTTCTTTTTTGTTAGTAATATTTTAGTGAGATCAATATTTGAACCTACTTCATTATTTAATATTTGGGATAAAAACATTCAAAGGTCTGATTCTTAGTTCAGTTAATTTTATTACTTGGTTTCAGTGGCTGCTTTAGCTGAAAAAAAAATCTTATATGGATACATAGAACCATACAGCAGAAACACATAATCATATCGTTATACCCTGCGTCAAAGGGTATAATGCAAAGATTTATATTAAACATTTTGCAAAGATTTACATTAAAATTTGGCAGTAGTTTCTCCATTTTCCTTGATGCCTTTCAGTTGTTCTTGCAAGCTAATCAGAATATGTTGCATTTCTTTTTCTTTTCTTTTCTTTTTTCTTTTTTTTTTTTTTTTTGAGATGGAGTCTCACTCTATCACCCAGGCTGGAGTGCAATGGTGCAATCTTGGTTCGCTGCAGCCTCCACCTCCCAGGTTGCAGCAATTCTCCTGCCTTAGCCTACCAGGTAGCTGGGATTACAGGCACACGCAACCACGCCCAGCTACTTTTTTTCAGTAGAGACGGGGTTTCACCATGTTGGCCAGGCTGGTCTCAAATTCCAGACCTCAGATGATCTCCCTGCCTTGGCCTCCCAAAGTGCTAGGATTACAGGTGTGAGCCACTGCACCCGGCTGCATTTTTGTATTTCTAAAAAATGGCTTGAAAGCCCATGGAGACTCTTGATTTGTAAGATTACTTAACCACGTTTAAAAATTCTAAATTTTCTGTATCTATGATAGGACTATTTTTATGGATGACACATAATATTTTCATTAATAAGATAATATACCTGTCCAAATATCTTTGTTCAAAATGGTCTCTCCATAGAACTCATTTCATTTGAAAAGCAATTAAAAGCAATTGCTTTCTCATGAGTTCACGGATTATTTCTCATAAAATCACAGATTAACAGTGCTTATTTTTATTTTATTTATTTATTTATTTTTTTGGAGACAGAGTCTCACTCTGTTGCCCAGGCTGAAGTGCAATGGCACGATCTCAGCTCATTGCAATCTCTGCCTCTGGGGTTCAAGCGATTCTCCTGCCTCCACCTCATAAGTAGCTGAGATTACAGGCGCCCTGCACCACACCTGGCTAATTTTTTATGTTTAGTAGGGATGGGGTTTCACCACGTTGGCCAGGCTGGTCTCAAACTCTTGACCTCAGGTGATCCACCTGCCTCGTCCTCCCAATGTGCTGGGATTACAGGCGTGAGCCACTGTGCCCAGCCTTATTTTGTTTTGAAATTCTTGTTACATGGCAAACTTTTGTATTTTTGGCTCCACTGTTTTCACTGCAATGGCTATTTTATGGTATCTTTGCAGGAATCTTTTAAAATGACTAGTTGTTTTTTATGGGGTTAGTTTAGAAGAAACAAATAATGCAATGTAAACGTCTACTTAAATGGGCATTTATAATCTAACAACTATCATATCTCAAATGAAGAGTGATGGTGGCACTGCCCACCTCTCTTCATTGATGAGGATCCTTTATCCTCGGGAGCACCTGATGACCCGCATGGTCATCAGACCACAGAAGGATGCTCTGATGAATACGTGATTCCATCTAAATCCATAGTAAACTCCATGATACAATACAATACGATACAAATTAGGCCTTACATATTAAATATGAGGCTTAATTTTTCTTAATCCTGAGATTAAAAACATTTTAGAAAATTAAATAATATTTTCTTTTTTGTATCTTTTTGGAGGCTTCTGATCCACAGGGGAAGAGAGAGAGAGACATATAAACCAATAACTGTATTCAACATGTAAAATGCTATGTACATGAAAAAAAGACTGCTATGGGAACTTGTGGGGGAGGAAGGGAGACAGAGGGCAAATTCCAGAAAGTCAAAGAGAGGAGATACTTTTGAGACGAAGTTGAAGAATAAATGGGAGTATGCTGAACCAACAAGTGGGCCAAGGACATTCAAGAAGACACAAGAAAAGAGAGTGTGCTCAGGAAACACTGAGGAGCTGGTTGAGGTCAGGATATAAGATGCCTGGGGGAGGGGCAGCCATGAACCTGGAGAGCTGGGTGTGATGCGGCTGTGAGGGGCTTTGCTCTGTTGGCAGTAGGGAGCCACTGAAGATTTTAAGGGGAAAAATGACCTTAGTGAAGGATATATTTCATTTACAAATCATGAACCATATACACATTTTATACATAATTACATTTTTGGCAGATGTGGATAAAATTCTGTTCGATCTGATTTAACAAATAATTATTGGCCATTATGGCAAGCGGTATCCCCAGATTTGGTGGAACAATTAAGCTGAATATTTACAGTGAAATACACAGATGTATGCATTTGTCCTTTAAAATTGTAATTTTCTGGAAATCTTTGACATCTGGAACAAATTCACACTAATATTTAGTCCTTAACAATATATATGTTTGGGGTTTATGTTGTAGCACTATGTTATGAATAAGGCAGTGTTATGACATTCTTCAGAGATCAATGACATCTAAGTTCAAGGCTGACCTATAGATATGGTATTCTATGCTATCATGAAGGTGACCATATTTCCAGAACCCCCATACACTTTTCTTCCTAACTGAGAATTTATATGTATGAAATGATTAAATCATACTTACATCCTGAAAGAAACAAAACAAAACCAATATGTATGTAGGCCAGACATCCAAGCTAATGAACTCTGAGTGTGACTTCCTTCTGCTGATGGAATATAAGCATCCTAAACCTATATATGCCATGTAGAGAGAGTGGCCTGTGTATGATGTGGCCTTGAGAGGCTAGCTTCTATTATTTGTGTCATTGTTTGGAAAAAGGTGCCAGGATGCCTTCTTGGTTTGTCAGTGAGAACATGACAAATATTTGAAAAGGCCCTTCTGTCATAAGAAATAAAGATTATTTTTATTTCTGATTAGAAAAGTAAAATATGCTTTGAAGAACAGCTAGAGAAAACAAAAAAGTATGAAAAAGAAAATGCAAAACCACCCCAAATCAGAATTTTTAGAGGTAACAATCATTAACACTTTATATAATCTTCTTCCAAATATTTTTCTATGCTATATAACATACACACTTATTCAAAACTAAATATATACTAAATATACATTTTGCATCCTACTTTTACAATTTAACATAATTGCCATTCCTTATGTCATTAAACATTCTTTGAAAACTTGTTTTTAGATGGCTATACAGTATTGAGTTTTATAGATACACCATAATTAATTTAAACAATTTCTAGTTTGGGGCATTAAGTCGATTTCAATTTTTTTTTTGGTATTTTTTTCCCCTGTAGTTACAGATAAATACATCTGGTGATTTATTTTCTTAGGATCATTTTCTAAAAGTGATTAAAGGATCTGAATTCTTTCAGATAGAACTGTTGAATATTTAAACAGAGTGATTGAAATTGTTCTCTGCTTTTGGCGGGAGCATAGCGAGGGTATCTGGATGATGAGGGAAAACTTAACTCCTTTTTTTTTTTTTTTTTGAGACACAGTTTCGCTCTTGTTACCCCAGGCTGGAGTGCAATGGCGCTATCCCAGCTGACTGCAATCTCCGCCTCCCTGGTTCAAGCGATTCTCCTGGCTCAGCCTCCTGAGTAGCTGGGATTATAGGCGTCCGCCACCACGCCTGGCTAGTTTTCGTATTTTTAGTAGAGACGAGGTTTCACCATGTTGGCCAGGCTGGTCTCGAAGTCACTCAAGTTATCTGCCCTCCTCGGCCTCCCAAAGTGCTGGGATTACAGGTGTGAGCCACTGCACCCGGCCGGAAAACTTAACTTGTATGTATTCACTCCTTCAGGAAATATTTATTGAGTGCCTCTTGTGCCCCAGGCTCCGCACTAGGTGCCAGCGTGCAGCAGGAAGCAGGAGAGCACGTTCACTGCCCTCCTGGCTTGCCTGCATTTACATAGACAGCAATGGCGATCCTGGTCTCTCTAAGTCCGAGCCTCTTTGCTCCACCCCCCCGCCCCCCCACCGCCATCTCTCCCCTCAGAGTGGTCCTTGGGGATTTCACTTCAGGGCAGGTTTATGGTGTCTTCCAGTCCTTGTTGTATTTAGCGCTATCTTGGGGAAAAGTTGTGAAGTATGTCTTTGGGACCCTGGCCTCTCCCTTCTGTACTTGAGTCCCCTTAATTCCCTCTCAGGCACCCAGGGACCTCAGAATATTTTTTCTCATGGCTTGTGAAGACCTGCTTTCTCAGAAGGAACTGATGATGTCAGTCGTTCATATCTCAACGTGGGTGAATTAAGACGCTGTGTTCCTTCTTCCAGGGGGAGTTAACTGTGAAGGCACTTAACAATCTCCTTATTGAGGAACGCGGGACTTTGTTTCCAATGGAGGAATTTCTGGCATCAGAGAGCAGATAGGGCAGAGGTGCTTTCTTCTGCGGCTCCTCAAGGCTCACAGCTTGCTATGGAAGCATCCTTGGAGGACATCTCCTTCCCTGCCCTTTCCATCAACGTTGGTTAATCCAATCTCCACCTTCTCTTAAAAGATTGACATGACGAGTGAGGAAGCCAAGGACATTGCATCCGCATCTTAAACTTAATCTCAGTACATGAAAGGGGCTGCTTTGGAAATAGAGCTTCATGAAACAGGGAAATCCCGTGGCCAGGAAACCCCTCGCTCCTCCCCACCCCACCCTGTGAGGAGTGTCTCCACTAGGAAGGAAATTAAATCAGTCTTCCAGCCACCAGAATTGAATTGGGATGGACTATTTCCTCTTTGGATTATGTTCCAAATTGCATTCCTGTTGCTCTGTTTGAAGTTAGAGTCAGAAATCATTCGTATTTCCCCTCTCTGAAGGAAAGCCTGCTGCAATGCTTATCTCATCGAGTTAATTGACCTACAAAGGGCTCATTCCTTCCTAAAAACACTCTGCATGGCTCTGATGGGTAAGCATCAGGCTAACACATATATATAATAAAAGTTCGAAAAGTTTGAATTTTTAGGTTTTAGAAATGGGAGCATGTGGTTTTCTCTCTGAGCCTCAGAGCTGGGTGTTTTTTCTGCCCTGGATTTGATTGAGGCTGATGAGAGCATGGAAGGGCCTACCCTCAGGTGGGGAAAGAGGAGGAATTTGAGAATTTGGCACAGAAAGGGCTCTCTTTGCCAGTCAGCGAACTGTTGATAGCTGGGAATAAAATGTGGAAGAACTGTTTGGCTTATGAAGATCTCCTAAATTTCTAATCAAGTATTTATTATTTTTTAAAATTTCAACTTTTATTTTAGATACAGGGGTCCATGTGCAGCTTTGTTACATGGGGTTATTGCGTGATGCTGTGGTTTGGAGTATGGGTTCCATCACCCAGGTAGTGAGCATAGCACCCAATAGGTAGTTCTTTCCCCAACCCCAAGTAGTCCACAGTGTCTGTTGTTCCCATATTTATATCCATGAATGCTCAGTGTTTAGCTCCCACTTATAAATGAGAACATGTGGTATTTGGTTTTCTGTTCCTATGTTAATTTTTTTTAAGATTATGGCCTCCAGCTGCATCCATGCTGCTGCAAAAGACATGATTTCATTCTTTTTTACAGCTGCATAGTATTCCATGGTATATCTGTACCACATTTTCCTTATACAATCTACCATTGATAGGGCACCTGGGTTGATTCTATGTCTGTGCTATTATGAATGGTGCAGTGATGAATGTACAAGTTCGTGTGTCTTTTTGGCAGAAGGTAGAACAATTATTTTTTTTGGGTATATACCCAGTAATGGGATTGCTGGGTCAAATGGTAGCTCTGTTTTTTTTTTTTTTTTTTTTTTTTTTTTGAGATGGAGTCTCGCTGTGTTGCTCAGGTTGGAGTGTAGTGGTGTGATCTCGGCTCACTGCAACCTCTACTTCCTAGGCTCAAGTGACTCTCCTGCCTCAGCCTCCCAAGTTGCTAGGATTACAGATGTGCGCTAGCACATCTGGCTAATTTTTGTATTTTTAGAGATGGGATTTCACCATGTTGGCCAGGCTGTTCTTGAACTCCTGACCTCAAGTGATCCACCCATCTCAGCCTCCCAAACAGCTGGGATTACAGGAGTGAGCCACTGTGCCCGGCCTGTTTTAAGTTCTTTGAGAAATCTCCAGACTGCTTTTTACAGTGGCTGGACTAATTTATATTCCCACGAACAGTGTGTAAGTGTTCCTTTTTGTCTGCAACCTTTCCAGTATCTGTTGTTTTTTGCCTTTTTAAAAAGGCACTTTGACTGGTGTGAGATGGTATCTCACTGTGGTTTTGCTTTGCATTTCTCTGATCATTAGTGATGCTGAGCATTTTTTCATATGTTTGTTGGCCACTTGTATGTCTTCTTTTGAGAAATGTCTGTTTATATCCTTTGCCCATTTTTTAATGGGGTTATTTGTTTTCTGCTTGTTGGTTTGTTTAAGTTCCCTATAGGTTCTGGATGTTAGACCTTTGCTGGATGCATAATTTGTGAAAGTATTTGATTTTTTTTTTTGAGTCTTGCTCTGTTGCCCAGGCTGGAGTGCAGTGGCAAGATCATGGCTTACTGCAGCCTTGAGCACCAAGGCTCAAACAATCCTCCCACCTCAGCCTCCCGAATAGCTGGGACTACAGGCATCCGCCACCACACCTGGCTCATTTTCATATTTTTTTGTACAGATGGGGTTGTCATGTTGCCTAGGCTGGTCAAGGGATCCACCCACCTCAGCCTCCTGAGTAGCTGGGTTTACAGGCATGCACCACCATGCCCAGCTAATTTTTGTATTTTTTGTAGAAACTGGGTTTCCTCATGTTTCCCAGGCTGATCTTGAACTCCTGGGTTCAAGCAATCTCCCTGCCTCACCCTTCCAAAGTGCTGGGATTATAGGTGTGAGTTACCGAGCTTGGCTGATTGGCTTATTTCACTCAGCATGTTTTCAAAGTTCATCCATGTTATAGCATATGGCAGAATGTCATTCCTTTTTAAGCTGAATATTCCATTGTATGTATAGGTCATATTTTGCTTATCCATTCACTCATTGGTGGACAGTTGGGTTGTTTTCATGTTTTAGCTATTGTGAATAGTGTTGTTATGAACATGGGTGTACAAATATCCTTGGAAATGCTGCTTCCAATTCTTTTAGATATATACACAGAACTGGGATTGCTGGATTATGTGGTAATTATACATTGAATTTTTTGAGGAACTGCCACACTGTTTCTTTTTTGTTTGTTTTTGTTTTGTTTTGAGACAGAGTCTCACTCTGTTGCTCAGGCTGGGGTTCAGTGGCACAATCTCAGCTCCCTGCAGCCTCAAACTCTTGAGTTCAAGCAATCCTCCCACCTCAGCCTTCCAAGTAGCTGGGATTACAAGTGTGTGCCACCACGTCTGGCTAATTTTTGTATTTTTAGTAGAGACGGGGTTTCACCATGTTGGGAAGGCTGGTCTCAAACTCCTGACCTCAAGTGATCTGCCCGCCCCAGCCTCCCAAAGTGCTGGGAATACTGGCGTGAGCCACCGCGCCCGGCCATGGAACTGCCATACTGTTTTTCATAAAGTTTATACCCTTTTACGTTCCCATCAGTACACAAGGGTTCTAATTTTTTCACATCCTCCCCAATACTTGTTATTGAATAACCTTTTAATTTTAAGACCCATGTAATAAGGTTGTAGTTTGGAATATTAATCCAATTATTTTTGATCCTGGTAATCCCTACTTCTAAATTGTCCTATGACTCCTCTTGGATACTATTTGTAGTCTCTTCTGTGGTTAAAAAAAAAAAAAAGGGCAATCCTTTCACCAGTTATGAGGCTATTGTCCCCAGGAGGACATATGTAAGATAATATGTAGAGGGAGTCCTTGTCAGAAGGAAAAAAGAGTGGAAACCCAGCCCCTGCTGGTCCTGATGGATGGTGGACAGGGGAAGAAAAATAGAGGTAGAATAGAGGGGATGAAATGCTTGTCCAGGCTTTCCCTCCTCTGTGGGTGGAGGTATGGTAGGAGTGAGAAAGCCTGAAAACATTGTGTGTTGGGGGTAATGGTATACGTACTTGGAAGGGATATAAGCAGTGATCTGCTGGTAAATGTGTACAGCCATTTCTCTGAGAGAGAAAAACAGTTCTGATTTTGTAGCATTTTCCAATTCCCATGGTGTAAATCCTTCCACTACGGCTGATTTCAAGCTTCCAATGTGAATTCACTAAACATAGAGTTGAGGAAGAGATGTGCAATAGCTCATCATTATGTAGTATTTCTGCCATGCAGATATAATAATTGTAAATAACCTCGAGAGCATAGGTAACAGTAAAACATAGTAAAATAGCTTTGAGTATTTATTGCCTTTGTTTTCAATGTAATTAATTTATTTGTAAGTTTATAGAACTCAAGTTTTAATAATGTTGTATTTAGCAACTGACTCACAAAAGTTGTAAGTTACCAATCATTTTCATGAGCAAGCTGCAGCATGTCATTGGCTCCAATTCTCAATGAGCAGAGCTCAGGAATGAATGTGTATTATTAGTGAAGGAAGTGGCTGGATACTCGAGTCTAACGTGGTGATTCTGATTTCCCAAGACTCAGGGTGACAAGAAGTGGATTCTAAAGTGCTGAGGGCTCAGTGGGCCAGCCCAGGCCTGGAGTCTGAATGAAGAGGCATCAGTGTGCCGGAACTTCATGACTGGGTTCAGTGCCAGACCTGCAGACGTTGAAAGTGAATGTCATCATGAAGCCCACATGGCTGGATGGGTCAGGTTCTCCTCAGTTGTCACCTGTCCAGGGGCAGTCCAGGTAGCTATTCTGCAGGAGCTAAGGGGTCCAGAGTACCCTAGTTCTCATTTGCACCCCTCTCCTTATGAGATCACAGAAGCTCTGTTTCCAGAAGTAATTTGGAGAGAAGCAAGGGGAAGGGAGGAAATCCAAAAGACTGAGCATTTATCCCAAATGGACTCAACCATCTAAAAACAGCAAATGGAAATCAACTGGGATTCCGTCATACCTTAATACATTTAAGACATGATTACACAATACATTTATATATAAAACATTAATATATTTATGGATTGTTTTTCTTCCCCTGCTATCGAGGCAGGTGGACCATTGCAAGGGAGATCAGGGAGTTGCAGGAAATAAAGATATGGCAGTTTCTTTGCATCCCATGTGATATGGAAAATATGTGGCCCTGCTACACCCTCTACCTTTTTCTCCAGGTATCACCACCTGCGCCATCAACAAGTAAGATCAATTAAGCCACCATCAATGCTATGGTAATTTGGTTTGGGACTGTAGGCAGATACTGTTCTTCTAATTGTTCTTTAAAATAAATGGGGGCAATGAACTGAATGTTCTGTATTAGACATAAGATGGTGCAGAGGGTGTGGGGGGCTGCAGCTTGAGTAGGACTGCACCGGGAGAGGGGTAATTAATGAGGCAGTGTAGTGAGCAGGGTCCCTGAGAGAGCCCTGTACCCTTGTTAGAAGAACGTGAGAGGGAGACAGCGCCAGGTCAGGTTCTTCTGAGAGCCCACTAAAGTGGAACTTTCATGTTCTCCTCATGGAAGTAAAGTAAATTTAAAGGGGTAGGATGGCACTGACTTTCTTCAAATTTAAATTTTATTAGTCGATTAGCTGTACTTTTTAAAATGTTTTATTCTGAAAATGAATTTTCCACAATAATGCAATTCAAAGTGAACTCATTTATCTGGCTTTTCTACAAAGGACAATTGAAACACTTAAGGCGAAATTCACTTATTCATCTCCATTTAAGAATGGAAAAAAAGTAACAGACTTCAGATACTGGTTAAGGTTAACAAAATATGGGAAGGCTCCTTTTTCTTTTCTTTCTTTTTTTTTGGTAGTCTCGTGTAAAAGCTTTACATTACTATGGATATTTTATAGTAAGACACTTTTGTTTCTGACTTTCTTTATAAACCCATTTTTAAATTTAAAGGCACACAATAAAGCTTTATGCATTTATTAAAATATACACATTTTGTTAAATTTAGAATTTTCCCTTAGTATCTTGATAAATCAATATATTGTCAACACCACACATTTGAAAATAAAACACATTTCATAATACATCTGCATATTATTTCTTTCTTCATGATACACTACATTGTACAGCACACCAATGGGAATTAAAAACCACAAAACGAACAAACTTTAACAAATACAGCAATTTCATACCAAAAAAAGATAGCAGAGAACAACACTAGGAATTACCATCTGTAAATGCAAGTTGTACTTCTCAAGGACGAAACGAAAAAGAAACAAGTTAGTAAAATTTACAAGCTGTATTTATAACTTTGGATATTAATTAAACAGTAACGTTTCTTTTCCACAGTGAGAAAAGCTAGAATGTGGAGTCCTGTCATCAGATGATGTGACTACATGGAATGAGGACTATAGCTGCTCTCTTAAAAACCTGCAGCCCCCTCTCTCAGCCCAGACAGTTGAGGTATTTATGCACCATCATAACATTAACAGCATCTTTGCTTTGGAAAGTGGGGGTTTATGATTTCTAGGGTAAATCCTCGCCTTTGGGAGTGTGAATGAGACAAGCGTATCAGCAACTGCCAAGACCAATCAATAGATGTGCATGGAACATTCTCTTCATCCCCAAATCAGAATGAACACAGTCCTTTAAAGTCTGCACTGCAGGTGAAATTCACATGACTCACAATTCCCTTTAGCCAATGTTACCGAAGTCAGTGTCAAGAAAACTTAACAGAAAAAAAAAAAAGCACAGAGTGAGTTCCTACCATAAAAATCCAGGCTGCCCCTGTTTCCTAGCTCTAATATAAGCCATTTTCTTTCCTTATGTGTACCAACATGTACTAAATGTCCCAAAGAGTAAGAAATTAGAACTACCTGTTGTCCGAAGACCTTAAGCCCAAAGCTATCTGTGAAAGTCCTATAGGGATTTTGTAATTCTGTGTGTGCAGAACACAGTTAAATTATTATTATTATTATTTTTGAGACGGAGTTTTGCTCTTATTGCCCAGGCTGGAGTGCAATGGTGTGATCTCGACTCACTGCAACCTCTGCCTCCCGGGTTCAAGCGATTCTCCTGCCTCAGCCTCCCTAATAGCTGGGATTACAGGCATGCAACACCACACCTGGCTAATTTTGTATTTTTAGTAGAGATGGGGTTTCTCCATGTTGGTCAGGCTGGTCTTGAACTCCTGGCCTCAGGTGATCCACCCGCCTCGGCCTCCCAAAGTGCTGGGATTACAGGCATGAGCCACTGCGCCCGGCCCAGTTTAATGATTTTGTACACTGTTTTAGTTGATACTGCAGAACACATATTCACCTTTGATGGGCTACAAAACTTCCACTCACCCCTTGTGGGTTCTAAGTCCTAAAAAAAAGAACACTCTATTTTCTTAGAGAAGTAATTTTGGCAAAAGGCGACTGCCTAGCTGTTTCAGAATGATTTCAGAATGATGCCTGCATTACTCAAGCAGGACAAGAAGAGGAAAGCATTTTAAAAAGGAAGTTGCTCTTAAGGAGAAAAAAAAATTAAAACAGCCTTTCTTCTAAAACTCTTAGAGAAAATAAAAGTAGGACATAGGACCAACCATTATGTACATGAAAGGGGCTTTTTGCTACCCATCCCCATTCCCAGCGAGAAATACTAAGTAAACTCCTTGGTGAAACTTCAGCTTTCTGGTTCCTGCGTGTGGTGGGGCCTGCGGTTTGGGATGCTGTTTCTGCACTTGCTCACTGTTGAATTTCAAATACTCTTTCGTGGCCAGGCCACCACTGGTTACCTGCTGGTGCCTCTCTCTCTTAGGATCTCCAGAGGTCTTTGCAGACACGTGGGTCCTCAGTTTCAGGGAGCTACACAGGTACAGGGGAAGCAGAGGCTCCATGAAGACTTTGGATAGAAACATCTTCCTTGACACGTCTTGTTCCAAACAGCATGAAAATGGAGCGCTGGCACACAGCCCTCGTGGCGACTTCTGGATGTGTTTCCTTTGCTCTCCTCTCTTTCCCTCCATTGGAAGTTAGGGACACCTCTGCACTACTCACTGACCTGAGGTTTATACTCCAATAGTGGACCCCTACCCGCTGCGTAGACTCCGTAAGCAGACCCCCGCTCTGGCTTCAGACACATTTCCTGAGTTCTGACTTTTCCACACAATAAGACATTCTAATCTGAGATTCATAATTAGGTAAACCTGTGTTTGGCCCTCCGCGGACTTTCCTCTGACATCTTGGGCCCCTGGTAAAACCTAGTGCGAAAGGGGACGGCAATTTTCTCCAGTCTTCTATGTGGATTTTCAACCTGATGTAGCTTCTGTTTATGTTGCAGATAAGAGGTGGTTTCTTGTAAGGTAGACTTCCAACAAATGTTGGATGTCTAACAAATGTTGGATTTGTCTTCCAATAAAAGAAAGGATGTCAGGTTTACCAACCCTTTTCAGCAGAATAGAGGAGAGAGATTTCTTTGAAGGAGTTTGTGTTTTGTTTTTCAATAATTACTAGATTTATATTCTGGCTGACCTATAGATTCTGAAGAAGGATGGATTGTTAAATTCAACAACTCCCTTCCGCCCGCCATTTATTTAAACAGATTTATCATGACCATTATGTAGGCATTTGATTAGCTACTAGTTTGTTACTAAGAAGTAGAACTGGCACACGCCTATAATCCCAGCTGCTTGGGAGGCTGAGGCAGGAGAATAGCTTGAACCCGGGAGGTGAAGGTTGCAGTGAGCCAAGATCATGCCACTGCACTCCAGCCTGGGTGACAGAATGAGACTCTGTCTAAAAAAAAAAAAGTAGCACTCAAGCTCAGTAAAACCTGGAGCTGAGATTTTACTGTTTAGATTAGATAGATATAAAAAGTTGTTAGGTTTAGTTGTTGAAACCTATTGTTGAAAACTTTAAAGTGGCTGTTAAATTGTGTTGCTTGTCCACGTATTAAATGGCTGTATTTTCTTAGGTTAATGATGAATGCAGACACAGGACTCAAAGTACAGCTATTTTTCTCTTTAATTTGTTAAATCAATTTGGAGTGTATATGTGGCTTGTTAGTTCCTTGCATAGGTAAGGAAGCCACCGTCTCAGCTTTCTTAAAGTTCAGCCTTCCTGGATTCACACTTTCGTCAGTTCCCCAATTATTTCCCACTCTCTCACCCGAGGAAAGCCAGTCAGCTCAGTGTGACATTCAAGTCTCTCTGTGAGTGATCCCTCACCTGCCTTCCTAGCATTATTTCTTATTGTTGCATGTATAAGTCATGCATAAATCATGTGCTCCAGGCAAACTAGCTCCTTGCTTTCTCTTAATGGAGGCACAGCACAAATTCTTAGCCAGAGGACCACAAACTAGTAGACCTTATTCATGCCGATCCTTTGCTTGGCATGCCTTTCTCTCATTTCTACTTGATAAAATTCTACCCACTTCACAAGTTCCAACACAAGTGTGACATTCTTTATGACCTTTCCAGAGGAAGAAGGCCTTCTTCATATTTGACCCCCCACAGCACATTACAAGTCCGTCATCTCACCTGACACATTCACTATTGTTCTTTATTTATATATCCCATTTCCCCTATTTGATTTTCCTTTTTAAGAGACAGGGTATTCTTCTGTTACCCAGGCTGGAGTACAGTGGTGTGATCATAGCTCACTGCAGCCTTGAACTCCTGGGCTCAAGTGATCCTCCTCCCTCAGTCTCTCAACTATCTGGGATCATAGGCACATGCCACCACACCAAGCTCTATTTCCTCTACTTCTTAAGAGCTGGATTTTTATCTGACTTACGATATCAATATCTGCCATAGTACATAATAGGCACTCCACAAGTAATTGTTGAATAAATATTTCATTTTCCTCCAATTCATTCATTCTGTCAATCATCAGGTATTTCTTGAATACACACTATATGCCAGGCACATGTAGCTAGCAAAATCTAGGTTTGAAGCTTACCTGTGGATTTTAATGATCTATGCTATTTCAAACCTCTACCTGCATGGGGAAAGATTTGTTCTTATCATGCAGAAGTACTTCTTCTTGTCATTACCACTAATTCTATTATTTTTCATGGTGTCACTCATTGGCAAATTTAGTAAAGCATGTCAGGGTTCTGCATTTATGTACTAAATATACGTCTAGTTTTGTCTTATCCTTTCTGTTTCTATTTTTGTTTGCTCTGAGTTCCTCACTTAATTTTTGTTTTGTATTATATATATTTTAGTAGCTGCCTCAAATCCTTTTGAAATGAAGCAGAGTACCAATAAATAAGTAGAATAAAATCTGAAGAAAATCAAGTAATTGGCTCCAAACCACAAATCCACACAATGAAATCTCACTCGGAGAGCTTTTGCTATTCAGAATTCAATAAAATGTAGGTCTTCCTTGGACTCCCTTCAAGGGGCAAAGTTTCTAAGATAATTATAAGGTGATCTTACTTTTAATGTGATCCCACACATACATCGTTTAGAAACCTGTTAAGAAAATAGTAATATTGTCATTGTAGTGATTGATGGTATTTGAAAACTGCATTGTAAAATCTGGGACTGTTCACAGAAGCAGGTAAACCTGAGGACAAACATGTCTATGTACCTGAAAATACTTTTTCTATCTTAGTGATTTTTTTTTTAAAACTAAGGTTGCTAGGGAGGTGATTTATCAACTTTAGAAAAATAAAGGGAGCTAAGCTTAAAATATACTAATATACTATGTGGGAAAAATGGCTCCTGAAATGAGAGTGCTTAATAGAATCTGCATGAAGTCAACAGCAATGGTGTTAACCAAAGCATACATTTTCCATTCCCATCCTATAGAAATTGCATTCATCTGCCACCAGGCTATTGTTACTTTAATACTTAAACCTCACTAGTAAAAGGAAGCTCTTTCACCCACGTTAAGATTTTGCCATTTTGCACTCCTATTTCTCTATTCTCATGCTTAATGAATACAACCCCTCCTCATCTATCTAGATATGTATCAAGCTTAACAGATTCTATTTACACCAGGCAGATTTGTTGAGTCCTATAGCCAATTCAAAACTTTGTTTTCAAAAGATGACTGATAATTAGTTTATAATTAATTCCTAATGCTGTATTTCACAGAGTAGGCACTGTATCTTTATGGTTAACTCTAGGGAAGAGAAAACATAGCATTGTCAAGCATGATATTAAAATGACAAAATGACCTCAGGAAACCAGAGTTCTAAACAATGACTACAGAAGAATAAAAAATATCTAGAAAATTGCAGTTATTTTAGTTTAATGGTATACATTGGCTATGATTACGATATGTAATTTATTTAAAGCATATTTTTTAAAAACTAGTTTCAATTCATCTTTATATGTATGTTAAAACCCAGTGCATCAGCCTGGAGACTTGTCAAGTTTGTTGTTTTATCTGCATTTACCAGGCTCCAGTGCTGCTCATCCATGGACTGTAGCCCCCAAGGGCAAGTGCCATGCTTCTATTCATTCCTGTCACTTAGCATTGGGTCTATTCTCAACCAGTGTTAGTTGAATGAAAAAATGGACTTTTACCTCCTTGCCATAATCCTAAAGCATGCCAAGATGGCATGAGCCTCAGCCTTTCAGAAAGAACAGACTTGAGTGCTAGCGAATATGTTCTGGAAAACGTTTGGCATACTGATACATCCAGGAGAGAAAGGACAAGGAATTTCTTCTTTTGTCCCTCTTTCAGGAAATCCTCACAGAGATTTTATTAATAGCTTGATTAATTTTAATAGCTTGGTTAATTCTATGATAGCTTGATTCAAATTGTGCCTTCACATACATTTGTACGTATCTCAGTGCAGCCACAGGAATTCTTGTAACCCAAGAGTAGAATTTATATTGTAGCCCATGTGTGTTTTTTTCCTTTGCAAATTCTCTCATCTATTCTATTTCTGAGAAAATTCTTTTAATAGCCCCTTTTATGGCCCAAATTTACATCTTACCAGGTAGATATTTCTCTGGGCTTCAGTGAAACTACTCTGGGAAATAACAGGAAAAAAAAATACACCTCTGAAAGTGAGCTAGCCCCAAGGAATAAGGTTCAGAAGTGAAATGTGATCTCATGGAATGCAACTACCTAAGTCGCTATACTTCAGCCTATTTTGTTTTCAGAGTAGCACACACCAATCAAGTGGTTGCCTATCTCAAAAACTTTAGAATTTATAATTTTAGAAATATGAAAGAGAATTTGCAATGTGATCTCAGTGGCTGGCTCACTTCTCCTTGTAAAAATTTTTATCTGATTATAAAACAAACAACCTACTTTTTCAAGGCATATCAGTGCCATGAAATCATGCTCCACCTTTGCCCGCTTTCATCATATCACCAGGAGCTGCAGTCTGATATAAGAGAGGCCATGACAGAGAGTTAATTTCTGCCAATGCCCTTCTGGCTTTTACCGCAAGATATGGTTATTTAATTTTCTTCTGGGCATTTACATAGAGCTTTGATGGTGCTTCTTACCATATCACTGGGTCTGCCTGACTGCTTTATGGTGAATCTGAAACCATTGGGAAAATGGTCCAGAGTCCCTGAACTTTGCTGGATCCTAAAATTATAGTTTGGAAGCTGTGAGAATGTTGGTGAATAAAAAGAAGCATGTGTCTTTTCCATGAATTAATTTTGGGTGAGATTGCAGGATAAAATGATGCTTGCTCAGGAAGTGCCAATGCCCATCTACCCACCCTGACCTCGGGGAGCAGCACTCAGCCTGACATGCCAAGAACAGAGCTTTGTCCCCATGTCTCAGGTGACTGAAATTCTGCCTTCTGCCCAGAGCCCCTGCTTGGGCTTCAACCAGCAAAGCAAAGGCCTAGGAAACATTTGGTACCATCAGCTCTGGTGGTTGCACCTAAGATGGAATTTCATATAGCCTCTTGTTTATTTATTTATTTTATTTAACAAGGCGACCAGTTAGGGGACCCAGGTTAAGCCCTTCAACAGAACTATCCTGAAGAGCAAAAGTAGCAAATGACAGGCTATGACTAGGGATTGAATTTGGGGAAGGCTGGATTTGTGAAATGAGAGCCAAAAAAGTTTTCACCTTCTAGCCCACAGGTTAAGTTACTGAAAATCAGTCATCACCATTTCTACCCACTTGTGTGTTTCTCCTACTCTGGAGAGTAATCTAACTCATCATTTGCAATCAGGGCCTCTGAGTTCTGTTTGTGTTTGCTTTTGCTCTTCGCTTTGCTACTTGTCCGGCCGTTTGCCTTCGCATCTGACATCTGTTGGTAATAGAAGCCTTTGTCTTCAGTGGGCCCGCCCCAGTCCTCCTGGCTCTCGCCCTCTGTGGCGTAGGAGAAACCCTCCTCCACTGAGAAGGGGTCATCCACGTCGTAGCGTTGGTACGTGCTTTGGTGCAGGGCCTCTTCTCGAGCGCTGATTTCCAGGGTGCTGTTCCAGATGCCATATCCAAAATAAATGAGCAGACCTGTGGGGCGAGGGGAAAGGTACAGGTGAATAAGCAATTGCTTTGGGATCCTGGGACTAGCAGAGAGATCACCTTCAGTGATGAAATCAAAGCTGGCGGGGTGGGGGGCGGTGGGGGCGGGGATGTATTTTCTTTGCTTTATGTGGTGTTTTGAAAATACTTGAATTAGATGCCTTTTAAAAATTGGGAGATCTTGCGTTAAGTAACCCATATTTACAGATTTTCCTAGAAAAGTCAAAAGGTCTGACAACACTGCATCCACATTTCTACATGGTGATTTTTGGCTGGTGTTGAGAACTGGCTGCCTCTTTAGACAGGATACAGGGTCTCTAGGTTACCTCAGTCCCCACCTCCCATGCTGACGTCGGGCTCATTACACTCATATAGCTGCCAGCCAGGAATTTGCATTTTCTACCCTGGGTGAACTATTTATGGATCAGCAACAGTTTATTCCCAACGTTCTTATAAGATTTGATTATTCTCTGCCTCCAGTTAGGGACTCTATCTCATGTTTCACCTCTTAGCAGCATGCATATATTATCCTGTGATTTACCTTGACATTTTACACTCACTAAAGGCGTGATATATCATGGCCACTCCAAGCTGCCTGCTTTCTTCTGTGTGCTCTCAGAGTGTCTAGTGCATGCTACTATTATGTCCCTTAGAACATCTGTTGTGTGATTATCTGCACAGGGTCGTAGACTCTGCAGAAAATTGGCACTTAATGTTTGTTGAATGAATGGGTGAGAACTCCTGATAAGCGTGAAATGTCCAGTGCAACCTCTGTGTTGATGTCATCCCAATCAAAGGAAAGAAACTTGCCCCCCTCGTTAATATGTAGCATTCATATATGCTAATGTTTCATTTCTATGATTTAAAAAACATGCATAAAAGTCATTTATGAGTACCCATTTTCTTTTTCTTTTCTTTTTTTTTTTGAGACAGGGTCTCACTCTGTTGTCCAGGCTGGAGTGCAGTGGCATGATCTCGGCTCACTGCAGTCTCTGCCTCATGGGCTCAAGCGATTCTCCTGCCTTGGCCTCTCGAGTAGTTGGGACCACAGGCATGTGCCACCACGCCCAGCTAATTTTTGTATTTTTGAGAGATGGAGTTTCACCATGTTGCCCAGGCTGGTCTCAAATTCTTGGACTCAAGTGATCCGCCTGCTTCCACTTCCCAATGTGTTGGGATTACAGGCATGAGCCATCAGTCCTGGCCTGAGTCCCCATTTTCTATCTTGAATAGACTGTGAAGGTTCAGGGCCTGGAAGTCTGGGAACCATAACCTTGGAGTCCATAGAACATGATAAGTAAGACTGTGGGCTCTGTGTTCAAATCCTGCCTTCATCACTGTTAGCTGTGTAACCCTGGTCCCATTACTTAGCCTCTCTGTTCCTCAGCATTCTCTGTAAAACGATGAGAGCTATAGCAACCCTCTTAACATGGGAGTGCTTGAGGATGAAATGAGGTAAGTGGTGGTTCTCAACCCTGGCTGCACTTGAAAGTCACCTGGGGGTGTTTTTTGAACCACTCTGATACCCTAGCCCCATCCTGGAGATTCTGATTTAATTAGTCTGCAGTATAACCCAAGCATAGGTATGTTTTTAAAACTCCACAGGTGATTCCAATGGTCAGAGTGTCCCTGAGATAATGAACTGTGCCTGATGGGCACAGTGTTCCACTGCCCACTCAGCCCACACTATGGCCTAGGCACTGGGGTCCATACAGTATGCAACCTCCTTCCCGGGCCCTAACATCCTCCTCTGAGTAGCACCAGTCTCTTTGACTTTGCTAACCCTGCAGGCTTCTGCTGGGCTGGTTTGCTTAGAACCGCAAGTCAAGCCTGCTTTGCTGCTGTGGTGCTTGAGAAATCTTGCTCTCTTTTGAATTTGAAGTGTGCCTTTTTAAGCTTGGATTTCTCCCTCCTTGTCTCAAATGACTTTGTCCCCCCTCCCTCCCACACTCCCCAGTGAAATCAACTTTCCAGGAGCCAAAGTAAGCACAGATTTATAGTCCTAATTGGTAATAAATCCTAGAGTTAATTATTTGCAGATGTAGCTATTAGTGCTCAAATAATGATTCATCTTTTAAAAGCAGGGTATTTACTCTTTCTTTTCTGTAGGTGGGGGGTGGCTATGGGGGATGGTTATTATCCTTGTGTAGAACAGGGCATCACATTAAGGCCTCTTCTAAGAGTGCCAGTGTGCTGGTTCTTGGAGAATGCCTCTGTCTGAAGCATGTTTGGCATCTGAGAATGGATTTCAGGCGACCAGGCAGGACCTGTGCACACCTCCTTTTGCACTGCTTTGCTTTTTTGCCATCTTTTCTTCTAGACACCCAGGCAGATGCCAAATATTGCCTCCTACTCCTGCTTGGTACCTATTATGCCAATTCTTTCCTTTCTGATGCCCTTCTCTGACTTTGCTTATAGACGACTCATTTCCCTACTGAACTTAATACCATCTTTTTCTTTTCCCTTTGCCCCAAACGTCTCTCCTCTGCCACCACAAAGGTCATTGTTCAGTCACTGGTTTGACATCACTCATCACTGGTTTGTCGATTCCAACAGACCTGTCCCTGCCCCCACAAGGTATTTTGGGTGTCAGATAGATTCATATTATGGGAATTCTCTAAAAACCTTGAGTCATAGATATTTAGAGCTGGAAAAGATGCTATAGATCACCTATGCATTCTAAAACCTTCATTTTACAGAAGAAGAAACAGAGGCTGGGAAAGAATAAGTGACTTGCCTGGGTCTGAGAAGGAGAGGAACCAGCTTTATACATGGAGGGAGAGAAGTCTCTTGCGTGTCTAGTCCTTCACACCTCCTCTCCCCTCCCCCAGGCTGGTTTACAGACTATGCCCACTGCAGTAAACATGTGATAAGAGGTTTACATGTGTTCTTTGGGAGTGGCCAGGCCTGGAAGGAACATGTGTGTGTGTGTGTGTGTGTGTGTGTGTGTATGTGTGTGTGTCTGTGTCTGCGCGCTCTCACATATTGACTGTGGTTACTTTTTACTTTGTGAAGACAATCCATGGAAACTTGCCACATAAATATTTATGGGTCTTTTCATGTTTGCCCTGAACCCCCTGGAGTTTCAAAGGTGTATCACTCTGTCTTCAAAAATGCATTTCAAATGTGAGTACTGTGAAACAAGAAACGACCGTGTGCATGCAGCCTGGTAGAGTAAATAGTAGATGCAAAGCCGTTCCCCTAGGGCTTGGCATTCTGTGTGTCTATCTTTCTTGCTGGCCCTTGAGTCAATTCAGGAAAAGTGGTGTGAAACTGAGAAGGATTGGAGAAAAGAAAAATGGAGGGGGACAAAGAAACAGAGAGGAACAGATGAAGGGAGGGAGGGAGGGAGAGAGAGAGAAGAGAAGAGAAACGTATTACCATCTGTCCCACATAAACAAGGGCTTTGTGTCGGAGGAGTAAACAGAGCTGCTCCACGCCTCCTGTGTGGAAGCAGGGTGTTTTGTTTCTGCTCCTTTTTTTAGTTGGCTTAGAGAATGAAGCATGAGGTAGTTTCTGAAAAATCTGTAGGGGTTCTGGGAATCCTGAATCATCTAAACTAAACTTCACAAAGCATTTCTGTGTGCTGGGTTAGGATAATGATGGATGGTTGATGTTGCACCTTTGTCCCAAAGAGCTCAAAATGTTACACAAACAGTATCTTGTTTTGTTTAGACTCCCTTTAACCTGTCTGGGAAGGGGTGTGTGTGTGTGTGTGTGTGTGTGTGTGTGAGTGATTATGTGCATTGCACACTTCACAGACAGGACAACAGGACAGTGGGCACAGAAAACATAAGGGAAGGTCCACAGCCACACAGTGAGCAGGTGGACAGTGAATCCTTCCAGGTCTCCCCATGCCCTAATCCAGGGCGCTTCTATCCCTCTTACATCTCCCGCCTACCAGGGATGGAAAACAATTTGGCTTAACGTTTTATTTGGAAGAACATATACAAAAGTGGAGTGAATAGGATCATGAATCACCAGCTCCCTTCATGCTCCCTCCCCTGACCCCTTCTCTACAGATTGTTTTGAAACAAATCCCTTCTATCATAGGTTTAATTTGTAAATATTTGAGTATGCATCTCTAAAAAAAGCAGTATCATCACAACTAAAAATTAATAATAATTTCTTAATATTATCTGATATCCAGCAGTATTAAAATTTATCTAAATTATTACATGTGTGTGGAAAACTCTTCACCTTATGAGGCTACACACGTATTCCTATGATGCCATCATTGCTTGAAGTAGTTTTTGGGCACCGCTAATCAAGATGGTCACTGGGAACGGCATCATATACTTTTGTAAACTCTTGCGGAGGGCAATCTAATATCTTTTGAGGGTGGATTTGATTTTGCTATAAGCCAGAAGTCATTTGAAACCAAGCCTCAAGAATAAGATGGCTGATTCACAAATAATACTATTTATTCTATTTGGATATTTAATTCTGCTGTACCTTAAAAGCAGATAACTTAGAGCCATTGCTTTGTAGTTACATAACTTATGTCAGTAAGAAACTAAAGGCAGGTGTGATGGCAAAAATCAGAGGGTGTCAGCCTTTGTGCTGCAGCAGTGTCCTGGAGGCTCCTCTGTGGGGCTGGAATTATTTTTTTTGAGTTGATGGGTCATGGTGGGGGTGCGTGGTGTGTGCAGGAAAGTGACTAGTTAGCAGTAAACACAGAAGTGTTTCAATATTCTGGCTGGGCACGGTGGCTCATGCCTGTAATCCCAGCACTTTGGGAGGCCGAGACAGGTGGATCACCTGAGGTCAGGAGTTCGAGTCCAGCCTGGCCAACATGGTGAAACCCCGTCTACTAAAAAAAAAAAAATAATTAGCTGGGCACGGTGGCGGGCACTGGTAATCCAGCTACATGGGAGGCTGAGGCAGGAGAACTGCTTGAACCCAGGAGGTGGAGGTTGCAGTGAGCTGAGATCACGCCATTGCACTCCAGCCTGGGCGACAGAGTGAGACTCCATCTCAAAAAAAAAAAAGTTTCAATATTTTAACACAGACATGGTTGGACTGGGGCACGTGGGCTGCATGCCTGTCCTGGTCAAAGGTAATGGTGGTTAGTCTTATGAAAGTCTGTTTAAAGGCCGGGCACGGTGGCTCACGCCTGTAATCCCAGCACTTTGGGAGGCGGAGGTGGGTGGATCACGAGGTCAGGAGATCGAGACCATCCTCGCTAACACGGTGAAACCCCGTCTCTACTAAAAAATACAAAAAAATTAGCCGGGCATGGCGGTGGGCACCTGTAGTCCCAGCTACTCCGGAGGCTGAGGCAGGAGAATGGCGTGAACCTGGGAGGCAGAGCTTGCATTGAGCTGAGATTGTGCCACTGCACTCCAGCCTGGGTGACAGAGTGAAGACTCCGTCTCAAAAAAAAAAAAAAAGAAAGTCTGTTTGCAGTGACGGGAAATATTCAAAGGGAGGCTTTGGCTTCTTTTCTAGACAGAAGTTCCCCAGTGGAAAATGTGTCTATGAGAAGTTCAGGCTAGACAAGATCAAGAATCATGCCTTTAGCAATTGAATGGGCTTTCTTTATGATATTAAATACTTTGTGGTTGTAATGCACTTTATATATTAAAAAAAGCACTTTCTCATCCATCATCCCAGGGAAGTTAAGAACTGTGTGATAAATCAGTAATTGAAATAGCATTGGGACTCATATCTCTTAACTCTAACCTGAGGGCTGTTCCTGTCCCACCCAGGTGCCTCCAGGGAAGGTTTACAAAAGCTAAGCTTGCGTTCATATACTAGGGTACCTTGGCATCAGCAGGTGACATACCTGCTCACCCCCCTGTGTTTATCCATCCTGTGAAAATTAAGCAAATGACCCCAAACCTACAAGAAAGAGAGGTGGGAAAGGGAGGTCTTGATCATACAGGAGAAATCCTAGAACAAAAACTCAACTCTGAAGAGACTGAGTAATGCAAACAATAACAGCATATTTCCAACTCTGAGGGCACACACTTAGGTTGCAGACCAGGTCCCCTATCTCCAGAGTTCCTGGGAACTCCCTGTCCTCTCCATGAAGCTCCATACTTAGAACCGAGAGAGGTGGGCCACCTGACCTCAGGCTGGGTGGAGCTGCCTCTTGCTGGGGTGCACTTTCCAGCAGGAAGCTCTGCCCACTGCAGATAGCTGAGGCACTTTGTTATGCCTAGAGGGCTTTTATTTTGACTACTCTGGGATCAACTTTCCAAAACAGACATTTGCCGAAGCAGAAAGGGAGACTGGGTGGTAATGAGAAGGTATCCTTCCCACCCCCACCTCAACCCCACCAACTCCCACTATTGCTGATTATTTTTTAAAATACCACCACGACTCTGTTGACTATAATAACAACAAGGCTTGTTTAATATGGTATGGCCAGGAAGAGCAGGCTTAGGATGAAGTTGGGCGGAGATTCTCTCCATGACCCTGCAGCTGATCTAATGGGAAGTCATGCTACTTTATGTCTCAGTTTCTCATCTGCAAAACGGGGTTGGGGATGCTTATTTTATTTGCAGTATATAATGGCCATGAGAAGTAATGCAATCTTGTTAAAGAATATGAAAAAACCTGGTAGTCTGAGCCAGCAATTCTAACTCAACAGAAACCCAAGAGATACATGTCCGCGTGTCCACCAAAAACATGTACAAGAATGTTCACAGCAGCTCTGTTTGTAACAGCCCTCAACTAGAAACAACCCAAATGTCCCTGGACACTAGAATGAATAATATATTGTGGTATATTAACACAGTGGGAGACTAGACAGCCACAAGAACAAACAAACTGAAACTACAAGCAACAATGGGCGTGAATCTCACAAACATAATATTGAGGGAAAGAAGGCAAACATCCCCTCTGTTGTGGCTTGAATTCTGTTCCAGGTAAGCTGCGCATGCCAGCTCTGTGCCCTCCACCTCTTCATTCTTTGGGATCACAGGAGAGCCAGTGTCTCAGCTGCCACTGATTGCAAAGCCCTGTGAGTGCTCCGCCCGCTCTGCATCTGGCAGTGCACCTCTGCCAGCAGACAGCCTCACGATTGCATGATCCACCTTCACACTCTACCTTCACCCTCCCTCCTTGGAATCCCACCAGCCCTGTTGCCAACCTCATCCTGGCCTTCAGGATTATTCTTGCTCGTCTGAGCACAATTTTGACATTGGAAGAGCCCGTTTTTTTTTCCTCTGCCTCCAAGGAGAATTTCAAGCTTATTTATGGGACATGTCATCAAGAATTTAGTTATCAGGTCCCAATTCATTGCTCTTTCTTTCCCTCTTCTTCTTTTTCTCACCTGGCTGCTTTGGGTCAATTTCCAGTTGGATTTCAGATAATAGCTCAGGTATAGACCATGAGGTGTGTCTTCTCTTTGGGATATTTCTATTTTGAGATAGGATTCATGAGGTCCATTGCCCGTATCACAAGTCCTGTCCTCTAAATCTACAGACAAGAATTTGATTTCCTCAGAAAGACTGAAAAAATTCCTACATGGCAAATCCTATGGTAAGGGCAAGCTATTCTAACAGGTGGTTACATTATAATAAAAACCCGCAGGGAACAGCAGGCCCGAAGGATGCCCTGGAAGATACCATGGTGCAGCATTCTCACTGAGCCCCTGCTAGTTCCATGTTCCCTGAGACTCTGCCCAACCCCTTGAGAGGTTCTTTCACAAAACTGCATCAACTAAAAGGAAAATGAAGGCTGCTTTGTGCTCACTTTACTGGGATTAATACACATTTGGTGTTTGTATTCCTTTTCTTGTCTGAAGGAAAAGAAACATGTGCTGGATAATCTTGTTGGGGCTTGTGCCTCGTTTTACTCTCTGAGTTGTGTTCTTCTGAAGGTCAAAAGCTTAGCAAAACATTGTTACAAAAATGCCGCAATTAAGATTTATTTAGAAAAGCTTGGATAAAAAAATGTGTCTTAAGAAGTTTATCAAGTTATGACTCAGCCTAATCATGTAAATCTTCAGTTTCATAAGCAGCTCCATTTAAAAATATCTCTACTGTTTTCCCCCAGAAAGTTACACTATGTATAGACAGATTAAGAAAAATCTGATATCTTGGAGGCTCAGAAGTTCAGAGGTGACATATTTATCTTATAAGACCATTAAGGATTTTATAGCCAGTTTGGGATTGTGGGTTGGATATATTTTATATATGCAAAAAATAGTTTTTGAAAAACAAGTCTTTGTAATTAAATTGTCTGCCCTGCTTGATAAAACTATGCTCCCCTTAGAGCAGTGGCACGCATTTGAGTCAGCTGGAGGGCTTGTTAAACCCTAAATTGCTCTCAGAGATTCTGATTCAGTAGACCTGGGGTGGAGTTCAAAAATCACATTTCTTTTTTTTTTGAGACAGAGTCTTGCTCTGTTGCCCAGGCTGGAGTGCAGTGGCATAATCTTGGCTCACTGTAACCTCCGCCTCCAGGGTTCAAGAGATTCTCCTGCCTCAGTCTCCCGAGTAGCTGGGATTACAGGTGCCCGCCACCACGCCTGGCTAATTTTTGTATTTTTAGTAGAGACGGAGTTTCACCATGTTGGCCAGGCTGGTCTCGAATTCCTGACCTCAGGTGATCTGCCCACCTTGGCCTCCCAAAGTGCTGGGATTACAGGCATGAGCCACCACGCCCAGCCTCAAAATCACATTTCTAACTAGTTCCCCGATGACATTGATGCTGCTGGTCTGGGGTCACACATTGAGGACCATTGATCTAGATCATTGTCAACTTGGCTGCCTATTAAAATTACCTGGGAACTTAAAAAATATTCCTCAATACTCGGCCACCAGACCAATTGAATCAGAAAATCTCTGTTGTGGAAGCCTGGGCTTAGAATGTTTCAGAAGCAACCCAGGGTGATACTGATGTGTAGCTAGGGTTGAGAATCTTTGTTCTGGGTGAAACTTAGTCATATAGCAGCCTTCAAAAATCATGATACTAAAGCAGTTAGCAGCAGGTGCCCAGAAATACTAGCAGTCCTTCCCAAATGTGATTTGCGGGCTGTGCATCAGAATCACCGGGTGCTTGTTGAACTGCAGACTTCTGTGCCCTCTGGCTGGCCAGCCCCACTCTGCAGGGTGGCATTCTTTTGAGTCAGCGAGTAGCAGTTTCTGGAGGGAGTTTGGAGTTTGTGCTATCAGCAAGATTACAAAAGGCGCTCAGGGAGTTTTCCTCTGCCTGATAGCTGGAAGGGCAGCCTGAGTCGCTGCAGGTTCACATCGTGCTTTGGCATATGATAGCCAGTCTGTCCATACTTGTGGACAATGAATCATTTCAGATTTTTAAAAGAAAGGCAGGAAATACATGTTTCTTGTTGCTTTTCTCAACATTTTCTCATTTAAGCCCCAAAGAATAACCAGGTCAAGGCTGATAAAATTATCTGCATTTTTACAGATAAGTAAACTGAGGCCCAAAGAAGTTAAGTAAATTTCCCAAAGTCACAAGACAAAGGAGGGGCAGAGCTGTGATTTGAAGTTGGTGCTGTTTGACTCCAAAGGTAAGGGCCCCTGCCACCTGACTGTTTTTGCAAAATGCCTCTGGTGCTTCAGGAGCCATAAATATTCTGCAGAACTGGCTATAGAGTTTTCAATGTAAAATGAAAACATGGGTCCTCTCGTTCAGAAATTATTAAGAATTCAAGATGGCAGCAGCAGAGCATTAAACCAAGCATGGGACCCTGTGCACAGCTGTGTGCCCATGAGGCCAGCCCTGATGCTATGTGTTAGGCTCTATCGAACGTTCTAATGAAATGAGTCTGCTCAGAGGCACCCTGGTGGGGTAGTAGGAGCCCCAGATTTGAGCATGGGTATACTGAGTTTTAGTAATAGCTCTTTGAATAACTTCCTGTTGACTTTGAGCATGTTATTTAACTTCTTGGAGGTTCAGTTTAGTCATCCATTAAATGGAGAGAGGGAGAAGTGGGAAGGTGGTGGACTACATCTGTATTTCTCCAATTCCAGTTAGTTATATACCACATTTTTAGTATATAACCATTTAGGCTATAACCATGGCCTCTGGCCCCACACTCCCTGAGTTCTAATCTTGGCTCTGCTATATTCTAGCTATGTGACCTCAGGCAAGTGCCTCAGTTTCCTCATCTGTAAAATAGAGATTGCTGTGAGGATTACATAAATAAGTAAGTGAAGCCCTCAGAATAATGGCTGATATGTGATAAGCACGGTACAAGTGCTCATTATTACTATTCCTATGAATCATACGGTATCTGTACTAGTAGTACTAATGTTTTTTCTTTAATATGACTCACACTTTAAATTTAAAAAAGTCATCTATAGTCTCTTTCCAAGTAATAGTATTTGTGAAATCACCAGATTCATGTGTATGTGTGGTTTTTCTAACCCAGGTGAAAATGTACAATAACTGTACAATATTTTTAAAAGTTCATTCATATGCTTTCTAATACCAGTTGAAAATATTACCAATGGAATGGGCACCACACTGTGGGTAGCATTGTACTAGACACTGAAGGCCCTTTTCAGCTTTAATAGTCTATGAATAAATAAGTCTATGTATATTTGTGTCTGTGTCTTGAATAATTTGACAAATACATGACTGAAATATTTCTACCCACTTCCATCACTTCTATCCAGAGTAGAATCTGCATTGGCTAGCTACATGTTCCAGTGGAAAAATGTTTAGAGATAAGAGATTGTATTTTTTTAAAAAGTTTTAAAATATTAATTTTTTTAAAAAAATTTTTTGAAATGGAGTCTTGCTCTGTCTCCCAGGCTAGAGTGCAGTGGTGTGATCTCAGCTCACTGCAACCTCCATTTCCTGGGTTCAAGCAATTTTCCTGTCTCATCCTCCCAAGTAGCTGGGATTACAGGCACTTGCCACCACGCCTGGCTAATTTTTGCATTTTTTATAGAGATGGGGTTTTGCCATGTAGGCCAGGCTAGTCTCGAACTCCTAAACTCAGGTGATCTGCCCTCCTCGGCCTCCCAAAGTGCTGGGATTATAGACGTGAGCCACTATGCCCAGCCAAGAGATTGTAAATGTGTTATAAAAATTGGTTAAAATCTTGATGAGTCAGTGGGGTCCTCTCAAGAAATCCTCCTGAAGTCTAACCAGGGGGACTTAGAATAGTGAAAAATTGGGACAAAATGCTTACAGGAAGCCATAGAGCAGCCTTCAGAAGCAAGGAGTCAGGCCTCTGGGGAAGACATATGCCCTTTCCATTGGTTGCTACTTTTTCCCCCACTTCTTTCTATCTATATCTTAACTTATAGGGCCACTTTGTATTCTACCCCCTCCAAGTTTTTTCTGGCAATTCTGACTGGAAGTTTTCCTTTTTCCCCTTTGAAGAGTACTTTATAATAATTTAAGAAGTATTTTTGAGCACATACTGCGGGCACCCTGCTCCAGACACGGAGGACACATGTTGAACAAGTGTATTCCTGATCTCTAGGAGTGGATGCACTGCCACTCATCACTAAGAGTCTCTGTGGGCTGGGCACAGTGGCTCATGCCTGTAATCCCAGCACTTTGGGAGGCTGAGGTGGGCAGATCATGAGGTTGAGAGTTCGAGAACAGCCTGGCCAACATGGTGAAACCCTATCTCTACTAAAAACACAAAAATTAGCAGGGCATGGTGGCACTCACCTGTAATATCAGCTACTCAGGAGGCTGAGGCAGGAGAATTGCTTGAACCTGGTTGGCGGAGGTTGCAGTGGGCCATGATCAAGCCACTGCACTCCAGCCTGGGCGACACAGCAAGACTCCATCTCAACAACAACAAACAAAACAAAACAAACAAATAACAACAACAACAACAACAACAAAAAGAGTCTCTTTGGCCTCTCTTGGGCTAAGTGACTCGTGTGTTTGTCTTGCCTCTCCTTTAGGCAGGGTTTACTCTTCTATTCCCCAGAGCTTCTAAAGATCCTCTTTAGCTAAGAATTTGTTATCAGAGACCCCAGGGTTACCAAGTTGTTCAGAGGACATACAAATAGTGACTAAGGAACTTTAAAATGAGTCTTCCATTACACTTCTCAAGTTCTTACTAGCATCAATCCCCAGCCACCTCATGAACATCAGAGATTGTCCTAGATGATAAGCAAGTACTGCAAATACAATAGAAATGGATCACAAAGTAAAATTAGAAATCTTAGAGAAGGTACAGGACTTCTTGAAGTCCGTGAAAGTGAGTTTAGAGAACAATTTGAATTCACACCCAAAATTGTAGACAATTGAGGACCTAACAGAGTCATATTAGTTATTACCAGCAGGAGAGAGAAAATCAGTAAGGATGGTGGCATGATGGGTACTTCCCAAGTGAATGATTGGAATGTCAATGAATGAAGAAAGGACCTTGGGAAATATGAAAAACTTTTGAATATTTTACAAAAGTCAGTATGAAGTGAGAGATGTTAAATGATGCCATGATTCAATTTTGTCAGAAAAATTATGCCAAAAAATCCACACTTAATTCACACCTTGTTCATTTAAAAATGAGAGCATAATTGCTATTTTAATTTAATTTTGTGAAATCTAAGATAGTTTTTCATTTTACAATTCTTAGTTTCTATGATAAAATTCCATCCAAATGCCCTGACCCCAATTATACTATGCTATTTTTGTCACCTTAAAAATGTGGATTCACTTTAAGTGGACTTTTTCTGGTATTAATTATCCTGATATAGAAAGAACTTTCAGTAATTCAGTAAAGCGATGGATTAATCAACATCATTTTTCCAGAACCAATGACTAAGAACATTACAGGCAGAAAGGGGACAACTGGCTTTATTGACTCTTAGGCGGAACACAAGGGTCCATAGAACCAGCCAGATTTCTCTGGGAACGGAGTTGCCTAGTCCAGCTAGGAGGTAATTTTGGGATAAGCATGCTTAAGACCTTAAAAGGGAACTCTTAAGGCTCCAAAGGAAGTTGCTTACCCACAAAGCACCAGACCGCAAACCGGATCCATGTGATGGTGGAGAGCTTTAGCATGAGATAGATGTTCACCAGCATGGCAAAGGCAGGCACAAAGGGGAGGCAAGGGGCCATGTAGGGCAGCTTCTTGGGGTTCTCTGGCTGCTGCAGGATCACAAACACCAGGGTGCTGATCAGCAGCACCATCAGAACAACCAGAAGGATGGCCCACCAGCTCTGCTCTGAGATGTAGTCAGAACCAAAGATGATGAAGGAGCAGAAGATGAACATGAGGATGAAGAGCAGGAGCACGCAGATGGTCACCGTGTGCCCCGTCGCTGCTGTGGGCCGGTCCATTTTGCCTGGAAGGCCCAGCCGGATTCTCATGGTGTAATAATGAGGCCCAATCAGCTTCTTTAACTTGATGAGATAAATATTTTCGGATTCATCAGCTTCTATGCCTGTGGTCATGTCCACGGTGCCGTAATTGGGGTGGTTGACGTTGTAGGTTGACTTGTCTGATTTCCCTATGAGCATCTCATTGTCTCCCAAGGATGGTAAGTTCTTGGCCCCACATGTGTTGGTGGCTGGGCCAGAAAACTCATCCCCCTCACTCACAGGAGAACAAGCTTCCTTCTCACAGTCAGCCAGAATGCCCTCCTTCTTCTTGGTGTGCTCCTCAGACAAGAACTTGACAAAACCATCAATGTCACTCTCAGGTTGGTATCGAAGGAGCAAGACACAGACAGAGACCAAGGTGTAGGCCAGGAGCGTGCCGATAGACATCATCTCTATCAGGTCTCTCAAGCTGACCAACAGTGCGAGGAGCGCTGCCAGGAACCCCGACACGATGCAGGCCACCACTGGTGTCTCTGTGTAGGAGCTGACGTGAGCCAGGAACCTGGAGGGGCCGGGCAAGCAGAGGGTTAATGGTGAGCTACAGTGACCGATTCCAGTGCAGCCAACATAGGGAGCTAGAACTATCAATAGGCTGGTGTGATTAACTCCTCCTGGTCCTGCTCCACCAATTTACTTCTGCATTCACTACTTTAAATCCAGCTGCTATTCCTACCCCAGGATTTGGTATATAATTAAAAAAGAATTCACTTTAAATCTTTGATTTCTTTTTTTTTTTTTTTTTTGGTGAGATGGTGTCTCACTCTGCTTACTCTGTCCCCCAGGCTGGAGTGCAGTGGCGTGATCTCAGCTCACTGCAACCTCCACCTCCTGGGTTCAAGTGATTCTCCTGCCTCAGCCTCCCGAGTAGCTGGGATTACAGGCATGCACCACTACACCCGGCTAATTTTTGTATTTTTAGTAGAGACAGAGTTTCACCATGTTGACCAGGCTGGTCTCGAACTCCTGACCTCATGATTCACCCACCTCAGCCTCCCAGAGTGTTGGGATTATAGGTGTGAGCCACTGTGCCTAGACTAGTTCTTTGATTTTAAGGCAAAGTTCTTTAGTAAAGTTCCTAATCATTATGTAATGGGAAGGGTTGATTGAACCTAGGAGGTCTGTCTTTCAGAAACCTAGATTGAAGCCCAGGCTCTGCGTGAAAAAGTGATGGTTGGAGGAAGTCATGGACCTGCTTGGGGGTCCTCCTGACCTGTGAACTAGCATCTTAGCATTCTCTTGGAGCTTGTTAGAAATGTATATTCTCAGGTTTCACCCAATAACTACTATACCAGAATCATAGTAGGGTGAGGCCTAGCAAACTGCTTTAAAAGACCTCCAGAGGATTCTGATTTATGCCAAAGCTTGAGACACCACCTATAACAAAAGTTCATGGGTTTAGTTGGCAAAATAGCACAGTAATTGAGAAACTGTGCTCGTAGATACAGATTTATGTCCAGCTAGTTACTGACTGAAGAAGAGACCAAGAAGAGCGACTGAATGGCATGTGCAATAGGCTCCCTCTCCTCTCCCCTCTCCTCCTGGTCCCTTATTTTTATGGTTCACACAAGACTGTAAATGTGTTTGAAGCCCCAGTATCTTTCCTGTTAGTTTCTTTGACAGCAGAAAAATCTTTTGGATGTGTGAAGTTCCCACGCCTCCATCACCCTAGGCCCCTCTTGATCTGTTCGGCAACCTAATCACAGCAGCTCTGATCTGGTGATGGCTTCAGAGAGTATGCAGGGGAAATGAGTCAGAAGATGATGTCTGCAGAGACAAAGTCCCTGAACCGGCCCCCTCTGCACACCTGAGAGCTCCTTGGCCTCCACGGTTTACTCCTTGCTTTGTGCACTTGAAGAATGCCTTCTCAGCAGGCCCCTCATGCTGGAAACAAAGGGCTGGGGCCACATCCCCTTTGTACCATGGGCAGATGGGCCACTTCATGGCCAATGTAGGGGGCAAGAACTGCCAATATATTGGTGTGGTTAAAAGTCTGATTTTTGGAGTCGGATGTTCTGGGATCAAATCCTGACCTGCCACTCAGTAGCTGAGGGATTTGTGGCAATTTTGTTTCACCTCTCTGAGTCCTAGTAGACTTCATATGCAAAATAGAGTTACTGTGAGGACTAAATGGGATACTGTATACACAGCACCCAGGACACACAAATGTTCAATAAATGGCAGCTGGTGTTGCAGGTATTGTTAGGATCTGTTCAGAGGGTCTTATCTACTCTTTGTTGACTTTTTTTTTTTTTCATTTTCAGAGGGGCTGTGGAGAGTGGGGCAGTTACCAGGCCTCAATGTGAGGGCAGGCCTAAGATGTCCCTAGGATGGTTCTTCCTTCTGGAGGCCACCCAGTACAGCAGTTTGGCCCCATCATCTTCACAAAGGAGCACGCAATGTCGACAGGAGGGAGGACAGTGGGGGGACACACATCAGCTTGTGCTGGATTAAGGGACTGCAGAGTTAAACTAGGGGCTGCTTCAGGGCCTGAGCTCTGTTACTCAGACTTTTCTTCAGGATACATAACAAGGTCCACAGTCCATGTGAAAGGCACTGATGTCAAAATCACAGTCAGTCTGACAGTGGGTAGACATTCTCCCTGGACAGACGTGGCAGAGCAGGATAAATTTCATGGAGCATAGCCCTTACCTGAAAAGGAGCCCGTCACCAGCCATGGCATAAATGACCCTCGGCATCGGGAAGAGGGACCCCAGCAAGCTGACTGTCAGTCCTGCAACCGACCCAATGGCCACTACGAATTTGGCAGCATAGAACCCATGAGCCACAAACATCTCCATGAGTGGGGATTCCGTGTCAATGGTATAATATGGCACCATCAGAGTTAAGATCACGCTCACCTGTTAAAACAAGAGAAGACAGGGCTGGAGGTACAGGGGAAGAACAGCATGGATAGAGGCCCCACGGGAGAGGAAAGAGCCCTGCCCCTGGAGGCAGAGGCTTGCATGGCAGTTTGGATCCATTCACTTGCTGGCATGTGCCTTTACTGTAGACCAGTCATCTGGCCTCTAGGCCTTGCTCAATATTATTTCCCCACATGTGAATTTAGTGGACTGGGCCAGAAACTCTCTATCTCTCTGGTCCTTTGATATCTGAGGAGTAAGTCTGCAGGTATTTCAGCCCCATGAGCAGAGCTATGCTAACAGTTCAGTGGAGAGCAGATATTTCTGGAAGGAAGGAGCTGCAGCCAATGCCCTGCAACCAGGGCCTGGCAGGGACCATGAGCACCCTGCCCACGTGGACAAGACTCTCATTTCTCTTCTGCTTTCTGGTCCTACAGGGTTTTATCCGTACTCCCTCTCACTGTGAAACACCAGAGATAAAATCTCCAAAGATAAGTGCTTAAGAGGTCTATAGCCTATTAACTGTTGGGACCCAGATAAGGACTCATATTTCTATTTCCTTTCTCTAGCTTAGTCCTAGGATCCAGGCAGGCCAACAGACAAATGATGGCATCAGGACAGAATCAAGTCCTACTGATTATATGGCTGTCAGACAACTATGGCTTTGCTTAATCAGGAATCATTTACTGTGTGTGCTATAAGGGTCCACCCCCAGAGAAGAGGGAGATGCGAGGGAGGAGCAGAAGAGGAAATAGAGAGCAGAATGTCTTTGCTATTCCCTCTACCCTACCACCCCTCCTTCAACACTCTGCCTACGGGGAGAAATCAGGGTATGGACAGGACAAAGCCACTGGCATGCATGTGCATCGGGGAGGTGATAAGCACTTAACTGGGGGCTCCCAGGACCTACTCCCCTCGCATATTATTGATCTGCCTAACATCCCTGCCTTCAGAATTGGCCATAGGCAATGGAGCCACCAGTCATATGGCCAGATATGGGGGGCCCCCCAGGCCTATGAAGGCCAAATTGACATCAAGAAGGGATTCAAAGCCTGAAGGAAAGAGGGTGGTCACATGTAGACCATTTCTTTGCCTATTCCTCTGGAGCCAAGATCCTCCAGTGGAGCCAAGGGCCACCAAGGAGGACAGGATGTCCTAGCAAAGCCCAGCAACCTTGTTCTTCTCATGGTGGGGGAGGGGCTGCCTGCTGACCAGTACAAGACCAAACAGCTCCTAGGGCGTGTTTAAGGCCTGTGCAGTATGAAAGAGAATGTTTCCTAGTAACATAACCACTTGCAATATTTCCTCTGGGGATGGGGCAGGGTGGGCTGGAGGAGAGTGGGATTGAGCCTCCTCCAGCTTCAGGGAGTCTCCTGAGTTAGATCAGGATGGGTAAAAAGTTGGTGGATCATAGAAGTACTCTGTGGTCTATAAAGTGCTATTCTAAGGAGGGCACTGTGATGATTGACTTTATTGTGTGTGATAAGGGCCCACTCCTGGAGGAAGGGCGGGAATGAAGGAGGAGTAGAAGGGGAAATGCAGAGTGTCCTTGCTGTTCCTTCTGCCCCGCAACCCCTCCCTCAACATTCTGCCCACTGGGATAATCAGGGTATGTATGGACACGATGAAACCCCTTGCATGTGTGTGCTAGTGGGAGGTGATAATTGAGGCACCCATAAAACCTCTGGGTAGGCAGCTGAATGTCTGTAAACGACCCTCAAGTTTGCCCTGTGTTTTTCTCTGGCTTCTAGAACAATCCTGTTTGCAGCTTGCCTTAATGATCAATTGGTCTGGCTTCCTTAGCTAGTTGCTAAAGATGTCTTTTTTGGGAAAGAGAAACAGCAGGGCTGATCAGCAGCAGCACCCCCCACTGCCAGCTCTTTCCTAATTGTGGTGACCCAAGTGAGTGCGCCCCTCAGGACCTGAGAATGTTTGTGGAACCACACACTTCCTGGCCTGTGAGCCAATTTTCTCCATTGCCAGGGGCAGAGGGGGATGTTGGATGCAGCTGGGCTATTTCTGTGATAGAAATTCTGGGATGGGAGCTCCGAGAGCAAGCATCAGAGCATGAGGAGTGTCTCAGGGGCGTGATCCTGAGGAAGACAAGGCTGAAGTCTTTATCCTGAGGCTCCCCTAGGTAGGGATACCTGAAGGTGAATTTGAGCTGGTGTAACAAGAGGGAGCAACAGCTGAAAGAAATGGCACTTTCCTCCCCAGATTTAAGGGGAAGAGAGTTTGTAGAGGACAATGTATTCTCTCTCCCCGCTGTGCAGGGAGCCTCGCCTCTTTGCTGCCGGGAAGCTCCCAGAAGACAGAAGAGCATTGAGGAAAGTGCACAGAGGCCCACAATGCCTTTGCTTGCACATCCACCCGTTACTGCCAGCCTATGACCTGAGCTCCTTGGATGGCAGCCCATTCCCTGCACACCAGCCCCTGGGGCAGCAGCAGACACCAAGAGCTTGTGAGGATGGAGGGGTGGGAATGAAGGCCAAGGCTGAAGTGAAGTCCTGGGGCTTCTCCTCTTCTTCAGTTTGGAGTCCTAATTTTTTTCTTGTCATGGGGAGTGGGGAATGGGGCTACAGGGGACAAAAGACAGACACCAAGAAGACATAGGAAAGGACTCCTTCCTGACAGAGAAGGGAGCTCAGTGCCAGGGCCACATCGTGAGGAGGGTCCCGCAAGCATCTGGTACTTACAGACACATATGCTGTCAGGCAGATGACCAGGGAGGCAGTGATAGCATAAGGGATGGACGTGTTGGGATTCTTGGCTTCCTCTCCAGTGGTGGCGATGATGTCAAAGCCAATGAAAGCGTAGAAGCATGTTGCTGCTCCTTGCAGCACCTGTGTGGATGATGGCATTTGTCAGACTCAGAAGATCGGGGTGGCACCTGGGTCTTAAATGTGGAAAGTGCAATTGCTCTATGCCCTGCAGACATGACTGAGTGGCTGAGGGAGTAACATGGTGGAACTCGTGCTAAACACGCAGGTTCTGATCTCCTCTACTTTCTAGCTGTGTGGCTGTGGGCAACTCTCTTATGATGTGTAAATAGAGATAAGAAGAATTGGCCGGGTGCGATGGCTCATGCCTGTAATCACAGCACTTTGAGAGGCCGATGGGGGTGGATCACGAGGTCAGGAGTTTGAGAACAGCCTTACCAACATGGTGAAACCCTGTCTGTACTAAAAATACAAAAATTAGCCAGGCATGGTGACGCGCACCTGTAATCTCAGCTATTCAGGAGGCTGAGGCAGGAGAATTGCTTGAACCCAGGAGGCAGAGGTTGCAGTGAGCTGAGATCGCGCCATTGCACTCCAGCCTCGGCGACAGAGGGAGACTCCATCTCAAAAAAAAAAAAAAAAAATGCTTCTGGCTCTTAGTGTAGGGGATTCAGATACTTCTGCATAAGGAAGAATTATCCTACTTAAATTACTGTTAGTACCCCTGACAGATCAGCTCTATGGTAACTTCCAGATCTAAAATGATATAAAAGATTTTCAGATCTTCAGACATTCTATTGTCTTCACTGGGAAGACATGGTAAAGACAGTTTATTTGTTGCTCCTTTTGGGGCTTGAATAACCTAGTTGGGCACGAGGCAGGAGGTCAGAGTAAAGCTGGGGGATGGTATCCGCTCACATCTGCTGGCAGTCTGTCTGCCAGGAGTCCACATGGCTCCAGGGGTGTTTGGGAATGTATTATATATGTCAAAATGTCAGTGAAAACCTTCCATTGAAGAGTGGCTACTTTCTTTGAAAGAACCTATTGAAGTTTAAATGAGGGTTCCCCACCTCAGTATTTTCATTGTTAGCTCTAAGTAAAAAAGTGCCTCTTTGAATGCTTAGGGACGTCCTTTTAGAAGGTGAGAGATATTTTTGGACTTGTGTGTATGGGGTGAGGGAAAAAGAAGCAAGCCCTAGCCAGTGGTCCAGGAGGTGAGACCCATTGCAGACTGGACCATTTTATTTTTCTTTTCTCCACATTCAGTTTATAAATGATGGAAATCAAAACGTGTGCCAAGCTGACACTTGTCCAAAATTGTCACTCTTACTTTCCTCACTGACTTCTCAATAAGACCAAATATGAAATACTAGAACCTGTAAGGTACATCACAAAATTAAAGATCTTCTCAAACCTTCAGAAGCAAACTTTGCTCATCTGTAAAATGAGCTGGTGTTTCCTACCGTTTCTCTCAGCTAGGATTCTAATGTTTCAACCCTCTACTCTGGGGTTCTTATCCTGGAGGCCATGGAATTCAGGGCATCTAAAAATTTTGCTGGTAAAGAATTGCATATGTTTTTCACTACCTTCTAGTTGAATTAGCATTTCTTTCAGTTATGAATGTAGGTGACAAACTAACAATACCTGTGCCTGTGTCACCAATAGCAATCAGATATTTTCACTTCATATGAGAGTTGTTGCAGAGATCTTGAAATATCACTTATGCTTATTACTTCTTTCAGATTATGATAGTTATTACACATAGAGGTTAACATATAAATCCCTAATAGAGAAGCACATTGTTACTAGATTACAATATAAAAATAAAATAAAATTAAAAATACTTAATACTACATTTCAATATAATTGATTTCCTTTGAATTCGTGTGTAATTAGGCTATTCATTTAAAATCACAATTCTCATAAGGGATCCACAGGCTTCATCAAACATCCAGGTGGTCCATGGCACAAGAAAATTTAAAAACTCCTGGTCTATTCTAATAAGTCAGGTAGAAAGAACTTCTAAAATACAAGCAGTTCCATCTCTAGATGGCTACTTTCCAGAAGAAAAGAGAACTCCTGCTTTCCCTACAGCAAAGTTTTTCATACAGTGGTGTGGAAAACGTCTTTGGCCTCCAGACAAGGAGGGAAAATAGATCTCACCTCATCATACATGGAGGTTCACAGGCTTGGAAATGTGCTTGTTTTCACTTATCTAGAAAATATTACTGGTCTTCAAGGATGAACGGATGCTAGACTGCTGGCTCACTAAGTAGTCCTGATCAAGAAAAGTCTCACTTTAAGATAGTTCCTTCATTTTTGACAAAGGTGCCAAGAACATTCACTGGGGAAAAGACAGTCTCTTCAGTAGATAGTGCTGAGAAAACTGGATATCCATAGGCAGAAGAATGAAACTAGACCTTTATCTCTCATCATCTACAAAAATCAAATCAAAATATATTGAAGACTTAAATCTAAGATCTCAAACTATGAAACTACCACAAGAAAACATTGGGGGAAAATCTTCAGGACATTGGTCTGGGCAAAAATTTCTTGAGCAATACCCCACAAGCACAGGCAACCCAATAAAAACAGAGTTATTCTACACGTTCAAGTCCTTTGTGGAAATAAGCGGGGTTATAAATAAATCAGTATGTTGGCTATCTCTATATCTTAGGGAACTCATTCACCTTTTTGTACTTTGTTTTCATCCAACGTTTTCAAACGCAATCATAGGCTGTAAGACTACCCCTAGGGGATGTTTGGAAAGATGTTTGGAAAATCTCCAGGACACTGGTCTGGGCAAACATTTCTTGAGCAATACCCCACAAGCACAGGCAGCCAAAGCAAAAATGGACAAATGGAATCACATCAAGTTAAAAAGCTTCTGCACAGCCAAGGATACAACCAACAAAGTGAAGAGACAACCCACAGAATAGGAGAAAATATCTGTAAACTACCCATCTGACAAGGGATTAATAACCAGAATATATAAGGAGCTCAAACAACTCTATAGGAAAAAATCTAATAATCTGATTTAAAAAATGGGCAAAAGATTTGAATAGACATTTCTCAAAAGAAGACATACAGAGGGCAAACAGGCATTGATAATCAGATAAATGAAAATCACAACTATAATCAGATATTATCTCACCTCACTTAAAATGGCTTATATCCAAAAGACAGGCAATAATAAATGCTGGCAAGGATGTGGAGAAAAGGGAACACTCGTACACTGTTTTTGGGAATGTAAATTAGTACAGGCACTATGGAGAAGAGTTTAGAGGTTTCTCAAACAACTGAAAATTGGGCTACCATATGTTCCAGCAATCCCACTGCTGGGTATATACCCAAAAGAAAGGGAATCAGCGTATTGAAGAGATATCTGCATTCCTATGTTTGTTGCAACACTGTTTACAATAGCTAAGATTTGGAAGCAACTTAAGTGTCCATCAACAGATGAATGGATAAAGAAAATGTGGGACATATACACAATTGAGTACTATGCAGCCATAAAAAAGAATGAGATCCAGTCATTTCCAACAACATGGATGGAACTGAAGATCTTTATGTTAAGCAAAATAAATCAGGCATGGAAAGACAAACATTGCACATTCTCACTTATTTGTGGGATCTAAAAATAAAAACAATTGAACTCATGGACACAGAGAGTAGAAGGATGGTTATCAGAGGCTGGGAAGGATAGTTGGGGGCTGGACGGGGGGAGGTGGGGATGGTTAATGGGTACAAAAAAAGTAGAAAGAATGAGTAAGACCTACTATTAGATAACATAACAGGGTGACTATAGTCAGTAATAATTGTACATTTTAAAATAACTTAAAGAGTGTAATTGGATTGGTTATAACTCAAAGGATAAATGCTTGAGGAGATGGACACCCCATTCTCCACGATGTGCTTATTTCACATTGCATGCCTCTATCAAAACATCTCATGTACCCCATAAATATATACACGTACTAAGTACCCACAAAACAAACCCAGAAAAACAGGTCCTGCTTTCTCTTCCTTTAACATTTATTCTTCCCTTCTACACACACAGACACATATATGTACACACATAAACATGCACACACATGCAAATACATATAAACACAGATAAACACACATACATACACATGCAAACACATATACATACATATACATGCATACATACCCTCCTCTTGTAAATCATTTAGTGACTTGGCACAACAACCATATAAATTTGGGCAAAGCAATCTTAGAAAAAGGTGAGAGGTTTGTGAACCATGCCACGTAAGGAAGAACTGGGGACCTGGGGATGTTTAACTTGAAGAGCAGAAGACTCAGTGGAAGATGAAGAGGACACCTTTAAATATGTGCAGTACCGGCAGTTGGAGTCAATGTGATGTCCACTGTAGGCTTCAGAGGAAATCCTAGGGCCACACACATGGGAGTGACTGGCTTTAGTTAGGAGCATAGACTTTGTAGACTGTCAGGCCCAGGTTGATTCTGCCACATATTAGCTTGGTGACCTAGAACAAGTTCTTAACCTCTTGGAGCCTAAGTTTCATTCTTACTTAAATGGAGATAATAATAGCACTTAGCTCATAGTGTTGTTACAAGGATAAAATGAGATAATAGAGTAAACTGCAGTCCTATAATACAGTAGGTGCTCAGTAAATATTAGCTCTTACCACCAGTATTATTATTACAATTCTAAGTTTTTCTAGAGCAGTTGACACCCAAGGGCACAAACTCCTCCTCCTTCTCTCCTCCTTCTACTCCCCTACCTTCCTCCTTTTAGAACTTGACTTGTGTGTACTAAGTGCTACCATGTGCCAGGCACTGTGCTTAGTGATGGGGATATAGTCATGAGCAAGTACCCAGCTTGATTTTACAGAGATTGAGTCTAGAGGATACTGTAAGATCCGAAATGCATTCTTGATTATGGTAACAAACTCAACAAGATTAATAAGCATCTATATTATTCATGAAACAGAAATGCTACTTTCCTCTAAATGAACAAGAGAAGGGATGGCAATTACTGATAATGATTAGCTATTAGAAAGTTAATTATGATCAAGTAGGGAAAAGAGGAAGTAAACTTGCAAAGAGGATGTCTCTTAGCCTGCATTTGCATATGTAGAACTAGAAAGCAAGTACAGTTGGAGAAAGACTGGACAGATCAAAGGCAGGACATGTGGAGGTTCTACCACATTAGGCAGTCAAGATAATTTATTAATAACGCAGATGATTCAAACAAAATTTCAATGAGGGACTATAGGCAGGTCTGGGGAGTATTTAGGCAGGGTTAAGGGAGGTGTCTAGGGATGCTGAGGCATCAGAGACTTAGCAACACTGAGAAGCTCTCATCCTGAGGCCTAAGTGTAGGGGGTGGAATGGTGTCCTGGAGTCCGGTGGGAGCTGGAGGTATGGGGCAGAGATTCCTAGAAGTAGCGGCCTTGTGGAGGCACAGCCAGTGTGGTGCCAAGGTTGGGAGGCAGCGAGGAAGAAATACTCTGGCCTTGCTTTCTTCTCGCCTTCTGACTTGATAGTATTTCCCACTGGCTAAATTCAACAGGAAGCAACCTGGAGCAGAGAACAGGGCATGAAGGGTGGAGAATAGGTCTGGGGAGCGGAGGCAAATGGAGAAGAAAGACCAACACACCTACCAGGGTCAAACCAAACTTGGCCTAACAAGACATAGATGAAATAAACAGATTATTAAAGAGAAGATAGAAAATTAGCAAAAAGGGTCATCTTTTTACTTGAGTTGGTTTGAATGAGCTTTTCTTCCTTGCAAGCAAATGGTCCCTGGTTGGTAAATACAAAGACCCATGAAATGAAACTGTATATGGGTGTCTCTACCCAAAGAACCACTGAAACCGTTTTCTACGTCACTCTATCCAGATCTCAGATCTGACCACTGGTGTTTATAATTAGGATAGACTTCCATGCATAAAAGCACATGTGCAGTACCTAGGGGTGAGCATCTGTGAATAAAATTGGTGGGTGAAATATGTGTATGTGTGTTCGTGTGCAAGTGTATGTGTATTTCTGGGTTTATTGGTATGTTATCCTAACTCTTTGCTTTAATGTTTTGCAAAATTAAAAAATAGTATTGAAAAAAATTAGCTAGGTGTGGTTGTGTGCACCTGTAGTTCCAGTTACTTGGGAGGCTGAGGTGGGAAGATTACTTGAGCCTGGGAGGTTGAGACTGCAGTGAGCTGTGATCGCACCACTGCACTCCAGCCTGGGCGACAGAGTGAGACTCTGCCTCAAAAAAAAGTACTGACCTTTGTATTTGATGATATAGCTGAGATTGTTGTTTGAAGTCAACCTGGTGTAAAAACTCAGCCAGCTGATCCAGAACAGAGTTCATCCCTCTAGAATGGCATTGTGGGAAAGCAGCACGTGCCTCAGTTGCTGGAGGGCTTCTGCTTAGTTAATTGTCAAAAGCAATGTCATTAGTGGCCTGCTACTCAGTATGTGAGGTCCCTAAAAACTGGCCCCCTGCGTCTTGCTGATATTTGAGAGGCATTCAGATGAGGCAGCCTTCACACATTCTGCCTCAGCCAGTCTGCCGGATGCCTGGGAGATAATTAGGCGCCTTTATGTTATTCACTCTCTAGGCAACAAAATTCCAACTTTTCACAGCATTTTCTACCACCCTCATGCCCCAGCTCTATTAGCAGCCTGTCCCCAGTGACAGTGGAATGTGCTAATAGGTTCCCACAAATGGATTCAGATGTGGAGAACATGAAAAACAACTTTTCCTTTGTTTGGAGGCTGTCAGGATTCCCCACAAATGATTGCTATGGACCATTTTCCTGGGAGCTATTTGTGCTGGTAGAGTGTCTTATTTGCTTAAAGAAAAACTATAAGATAGTATCAAGAACAAATAACATGAAGGGAACACGCGTCCAGCAATGTTCAAGGGCTGAGGAATTGCAGATGGAAGCAGGGGTTCAGCTGAAGGCCAGAGTTACTTGATATAGGGAAAAATGTTTGTTGTTCTTAAACTCTTCAAGACCACAGAAGCATTTGACCCAGAACCTGTAAGTGAGTAAACCATTCCTTAAGCTATTTTCTTTGGAAGGAAGTGTTTGGAGCAGGGGAAAGAGTAGGTTTATGAGGGGTCCCTGGTTAGAGGATGGATTGTTCATTAACTCTTTCAAAGTCCTTGAGAATTGTGTGGAAAGTCATGTCATGCTATTCTTATAAATCATCTCCTATACAATGGTTTCCTCCATTCCATCCTACCTAAAGCAATTGAAGAATAAAGTGGGTTGGACCTCTGTACTAGTCCCCTAGTCAGGGGTAGAGGTAAGGGTTTTGATAAGGAGTGAAGAAGTTCATGTATCTGTTGACGAGGCAACACACTTCTGTAGACGATTTTTAGGTAACAGAGCGAGGAATGTGTGTATTACCTTGGTGTATGACATGCTCATGAGGCAGTGTCAGACCTTAAAAAATAGGGTCTAAATTCAAAATGACTTTGCTGGACTTTGGAAAAGTGACCTGAAACCAAAGTTGAGAAATAACAGGTCCAGGCCCATTCACTGGGAAGGAAATGTACTACGTAGAAATCCAAGGCCAGGCAGAGTGCAGAGAGGATGAATCAGCAACATCTTCACACTGGGCTGTCCTTTGTTCTCAGATGATACTTTTAGGCACATTCACTAGGACATATATCATCCCCAAGTTTCCTTTAGGGATAATGGAATTGCAGCAAAACATTCACAATCCCAGCCAAACTTTTTTCTTGGCCAATGACAAATCTACTCAAGGCAGTAGGCTTGGATTGGAATGAGGACAGTGAACAGAAGTGCAAAAAAAGATAACCAGTTCATGGTCCCAAACCCAGGTGGCAGTGGGGTAAATAAGTACTTTGGCCCATCCAGGACTGGGATCGAATTTCAGCTCTATTACTTACCATCTAGATCTGTGTCTTTAACTTTTCTAAGCTTGAGCTATTTGCATGTAAAAGTGGAGAGCTCTGTACTTATTTTGCAGGGCTGTTGTGAAAATTAAATTAAAAGTGTACATGAAAGAGTTTGTCACAAAGAAAATGTTCAATGTTGGGAAAAGCGTCCTTCATTTCTTTCTTATGCCTGACTTCTGATCTTCTCTTAGGAAAGTTAGTGAGAACCCAGGATGTATAAGTGGGGAACCCCAAGGCTGGCATGGTTAGCTCCTTCCTTGATGAGGCAGGCTCCTGATTGAGGAAGGATGTGGAGCCCCTGAGAAGGAAAGGGAGACCCCCAAAGAGAATAAAGGCCTCAGAACAAAACACAAGGCTAAAGGCAACGCTAAAATGTGCCTCCATCTTCTTCAGGATGGGTAAAGAACATTTACACAGAGGATATTAACTCTTTCCAGTCTTTAAGTGGGGCCTAAACTAGAGTGTGTGCCGTTTGGGTGAGCTAATAGGAGGATTTTGAAAATTAAATATCAATCAAGTAATTAAGAAGAGTTTTAGAATTGCATTGACAGGATGTCTTCATAAACAATGCATATGCAGCCTGGGTCAGTTGAACTATTTTCTATCTCTTAATGTTCCTCCAAGATTCTCTGACATCATGAAAGTTTAAAGGAAGTATAACATTTTAGATTTATTACCTTACTACTTACTAAAGAAAACTCAGAGAGAATGAGCGTGATACACAAGGTACTGCTTTGGTAGAAAGGGCTTTGGAGTCACACAGATCTGGGCAGAAACCCCAGCCCCAGAGCTGACTAAGTGAGGTCAGGTCAGTTTCGCAGCCTCTATGAGGATTCTCCACTTTTAAGTAAGGGATAACAGCACCACTCAAAAGTTTTGTTTTAAGGGTGAGATACTATTCATGGAATACGATGCCAGGAACTTAACAGGTAGTCAATAAAAACTAGTTCCTTCCTCATGTAGTTTTAACTATTGACAACCGTAACAAGCTGCACATAAAAACATCCAAGATTTTGCTGTTTTTTTGCAAACATGTAGTGCAATTAGTTTTGCCACATAATAGATAAGAAAAACTGAAAGCACAGAAGTTAATTGATGGCCAAAGTCTTCCAGTAAGTCCATGACCCAATAATTTCTTATACTGTTAAGAAAATGGTGAGGACATTTTCCTGCTACAATGAAAATGCAACTGAGGACCAAGAAGCAGCTTCTCGGCTCCTTCTGGAATCTCTGCCTGGTTCAGCCTGCCTGACTCCACTCCTGCCTCCACCATGTCCATCAGGGTGACCCAGAAGTCCTACAAGGTGTCCACCTCTGGCCCCCAGGCCTTTAGCAGCCGCTTTTACACGAATGGGCCTGGTGCCCACATCAGCTCTTCAAGCCTCTCCCGAGTGAGCAGCAGCAGCTTCCGGGGTGGCCTGGGCAGAGGCTATGGTGGGGCCAGCGGCATAGGAGGCATCACCACTGTCACGTTCAACCAGAGCCTGCTGAGCCCTGTTAACCTGGAGGTAGATCCCAATATCCAGGCCATGCACACCCAGGAGAAGGAGCAGATCAAGACCCTCAACAACAAGTTTGCCTCCTTCATCGACAAGGTACGGTTCCTGCAGCAGTAGAACAAGATGCTGGAGACCAAGTGGAGCCTCCTGCAGCAGCAGAAGATGGCTCGGATCAACGTATTTGAGAGCTACATGAACAACCTTAGGCGGCAGCTGGAGGCTCTGGGCTAGGAGAAGCTGAAGCTGGAGGCGGAGCTTGGCAATATGCAGGGGCTGGTGGAGGACTTCAAGAACAAGTATGAGGATGAGATCAATAAGCGTACAGAAACGGAGAATGAATTTGTCCTCATCAAGAAGGACATGGATGAAGCTTACATGAACAAGGCAGAGCTGGAGTCTCGCCTGGAAGGGCTGACTGACGAGATCAACTTCCTCAGGCAACTGCATGAAGAGGAGATCCAGGAGCTGCAGTCCCAGATCTCGGGCACGTCTGCGGTGCTGTCCATGGACAACAGCCTCTCCCTGGACATGGACAGCATCATCGCTGAGGTCAAGGCACAGTAGGAGGAGATCGCCAACCGCAGCTGGGCTGAGGCTGAGAGCATGTACCAGATCAAGTATGCAGAGCTGCAGACGCTGGCTGGCAAGCACGGGGATGACCTGCGGTGTACAAAGACTTAGATCTCCGAGATGAACCGGAACATCAGCCGGCTCCAGGCTGAGATTGAGGGCCTCAAAGGCCAGAGGGCTTCCCTGGAGGCCCCCATCGCAGATACCGAGCAGCGTGGGGAGCTGGCCGTTAAGGATGCCAGCGCCAAGCGGTCGGAGCTGGAGGCCGCCCTGCAGCGGGCCAAGCAGGACATGGCGCAGCAGCTGCGTGAGTACCAGGAGCTGATGAACGTCAAACTGGCCCTGGACATGGAGATCGCCACCTACAGGAAGCTGCTGGAGGGCGAGGAGAGCCCGGCTGGAGTCTGGGATGCAGAACACGAGTATCCATAGGAAGACCACCAGCGGCTATGCAGGTGGTCTGAGTTCCGCCTATGGGGGCCTCACAAGCCCTGGCCTCAGCTATGGCCTAAGCTCCAGCTTTGGCTCTGTCGCGGGCTCCAGCTCATTCAGCCGCACCGGCTCCGCCAGGGCCATGGTTGTGCAGAAGATTGAGACCCGCGATGGGAAGCTGGTATCCGAGTCCTCTGACGTCCTGCCCAAGTGAAGAGCTGCGGCAGTCCCTCCCAGCCTGCCTCTACTGTGGCTCCCCCAGAGCCCGGGAGGGAGGCTGCTGTGCAGGGGAGCACAGGGAACAGGAGACCCACCTGAAGCTCAGCCCTAGCTCTCAGCCCACGCGCGGGGGAGTTTACTGCTTGGGGACCCCCCTTGCCTCCAGCTACAAAACAATTTAATTGCTTTATTTTGTCCAAAAAAAAAAAAAAAAAAAAAAAGAAAGAAAGAAAGAAAAAAGAAAATGCAACTGAGTTCCAGGAAAACATTCCTTCTTTTCAGTCTTGTAATTTGTTGTTTCTCTTATATGATAGGAAAGGAACAGTTTGTATCATAAGATAATATAGATCTGGGGATCCAGAATGGGGCCAACAGTGTTTCTTTGTCTCTTCTTTTGGGTTTAAGCAGTTTCAGTATTTATTCATTTCAAAGAGGAGGGATGAACTTTGTAGTTCTGTGGAATTCTTATAGATAAGGAGAAGACTAGGAATCTTGGCTTAAATTGCTTCCTTGCTTATTTCTCTGCATTGAACGGCATGGCGTGGTTCGGAATAAACAAGTGATTTTGAGTGTTCTCCAAGAAACATTTCTGATCCCTGGACATGTTGGAGAAAAACCAGCCTAAGCAAAAGCTGCAAAAGCAAAGTGGGTGGAATCCTGGACTTGCTTTCTGTCATCAGTTCTAGGCAGACTTGCCTCTCTCGACCTTAGGTTGTTCATCTGTTAAATGAACGGATAGGACCAGGTAACCTCTAAGGTCCCTGACAGCTCAAAATTCTCTGATTTATGTTCTACCATGAAAAAGAGGTGGGCTAGTGAATTTCACCAATAAATCCACAACATAAGTATTTTTAGTCATCCTAGAGAAAGAAACCAGGTGCAACTCACAGCCACTTGTCAGTATAAAGAATTTGCCTCTCTGACCTTCCTATTTTTCTCTAGCATAAACCGCACTAGCCAGATCATGGAATGAGATCTGAAAACATCCTTTTGGTCCAGCCCATGCTCTTGCTAACCCCTAGACCACACCAGGTAAACCTGCCTGTTATGAACTATGCCTTTGGAATGGGATTTATAGCACAGCCCTCCATTAGGCCAGCTCAGCTGTCCTCTGACCTCAGTAGGACTCTCCTCCTAGAGTCAAATGCTGACATTGGAATTAAAAACTGTTATTTTCCTAGTGTCATACCCAGGCAAAACTCATCCCTTCCCTACTGTCCCCTTTCCCTGGCCTCCTTTATTGCCTTGTGTATTTATGTTCTTCTTGATCTCTCTTAGTAGATTGTAGACATAATTCTATAGAACTGAGCTGTTCTTGCACAGACTTTGGAGCCAGGCAGTCGTGGCTGACTGGGTTCTGCCACTTACATTGTGTGTTTAACAGTAAGCCATTTGAACTCTCTGAATGGGAGTTTTTTTCATCTTTAAGAGCAGAATGTAAATATCTTCCTCACAAGATTATCAGGATGATTAAATGAGATAGTACGTGCAAAGACACTTAGCACAATTTTAGGCAATTGCAGGTTGCCAAAACATTGAATCTATTATTATTATTTGTATAAAATAAGATCTTAACAAATGCCTGTGGAAAAAAAAACAACACACAAGAACCACTTCTTCAGGATATTCCAACTAAATTAAGATCAAAAGGTGATAAAGAGGGTGCTGTGGTAATTATGGAACAGAACAGCATTTTCTTGAAAATATGTCTTAGGTTGGTCACAGGGTAGAAGGCAGAGTGTGTGACAGGCACACCAGGTGTTTGGAACAAACTTACCCCTGACCAGCCGTGGGGCAAGAACTGGCCCTCCGCCCAGTATTTCCCATTGATGAAGAAGAGGCCTGCGATCATGATGAACACCCATACTGCCAGGTTCAGCACATTGAGAACATTGTTGAAGCCTATGGAATTCTTCACCCCCAGAGCAACAATGATGGTCACGATGACCGCGATCAACAGAGCCAGAAGGTCTGGGTATGATTCTTCACCTTTCCCTAGAGAGGAAAGACATGATTTGACATTGTCTGGAGGGAAGAAAGGGCCATGCAAACTCCTGGTCCTACCCCACTGCATCCGTACTCAGCTTTAAGAAGGGCAGTAAACTGGGAGGCCGAGGCAGGCAGATCACGAGGTCAGGAGATTGAGACCATCCTGGCTAATACGGTGAAACCCTGTCTCTACTAAAAATACAAAAAAATTAGCCGGGTGTGGTGGCGGGCGCCTGTAGTCCCAGCTACTCACAAGGCTGAGGCAGGAGAATGGCGTGAACCTGGGAGGTGGAGCTTGCAGTGAGCCGAGATCACGCCACTGCACTCCAGCCTGGGGGACAGAGTGAGACTCTGTCTCAAAAAAAAAAAAAAAAAAAAAAAAAAAAAAAGAAGGGCAGTAAGTCTTTAAAAGGAACTCTGTGTGTGTGTGTGTGCACCTACACATGCCTATGCTATAGTCCACAAGCAGATACCAGTATCTATTTGCAAATGAGCAGGATTTGGTAGATAGGTAAGATGATCTGGTATCCTGGACCAAAAATTGGGCTATGTGGTGTGACAATTACAACAGCGCCTATGAAACCATGGCACAGAACATTTGAAGTGGGAACCATCCTGGGATATTTGGGATGTATATTTAGGTCTAACATGTTTGAAAATTGTTTTTAGCTTCATTATTTTTAATTTTACAGTCTGTAAAATTTCCATCCCATTCCCAAACCTTTTCTTTATCAACAATTTTAAGAATGTGTGTCTTTGAAAATGATGGTAAGAGGGGTTTTCTGTCCTTTTGTGTATATGTGGTTGTAGAGAAAAAAATAACCAGTGAACACGCCCTGCCTGCTTGGTTTTGCCCAACGGCCAGTGGACTCCTGCCCTCTATAGAGTGGAAAAGGCACTGCCTCAGCTGCAGGGATCTTGAATTTCAGCTGTACTTTTGCCCATAGCCAGATGTGTGGCCTTGGGCAAGTTGCCTCATCTTTCTGGACCTCATTTGTAAAGTGAAGGACATGAATGGCCTGATTTTGGAGGACTCTTTTAGACCTAAAATTCTATGCAATCAGTACACAGAACAGGTTTGTTCTTTATATTTTTATCTTGTCATGGTACTTGGGTGCTCAGCATTTTTGTCAGTTCTTTTGATATAGGAATATCGAAGTTAGATGACTTGACACAGCCACAGAATCATTCCTTGGAAGTTCTGAGGCAAGATTCCAGAGCTTCCTCAACTATTGTTTAGCTTTTCTAGAATGTGAGTTTATCAGGCATCAAGATGGAGAGTGGCCGGGCACAGTGGCTCATGCTTGTAATTCCAGCACTTTGGGAGGCCAAGGTGGGTGGATCACAAGGTCAGGAGTTTGAGACCAGCCTGGCCAACATTGTGAAACCCCATCTCTACTGAAAATACAAAAATTAGCTGAGTGTGGTAGCTGAGTAGTAATCCCAGCTACTCAGGAGGCTGAGGCAGGAGAATTGCTTGAACCAGGGAGGTGGAGGTTGCAGTGAGCCCAGATCATGCCATTGCACTCTAGCCTGGGCAACAGAGCAAGACTCTGTCTCAAAAAAAAAAAAAAAAAAAAAAAAAAGGAGTGGATGGCAAATGATGGATGGAGCCTGAGGTCTCATGGTATTTGTTACACGAGCTTCTGATGGTTTAGCATTCACTGTTATATTACCCCTCCCTGACCTCTTCTAGGCTGGAACCCATTTTATTCATTAAATTTTTTTTCATTGAAATTTGGAAAAAAAATCTGATGAAACCACTGGAGAAATTGCTGACAGTTCTTTTTTTCCTGCATTGGTTTTATTTTTATATAGTTATTGACATGTGCCTGTATGGTTTGTAGCCTTTGACGTATGACATTACATTAAAACATAATCCATGTTATTACAAGTTTCCCTAATCATCCTTTTAATTGCTAGCTACATAGTATTTGTCTGCAATTTACTTAGTCACTTGCCCCACTGTAGAATATTTAGGCTGTCTCTAACTTTTTGTTATTGTAAATAAGGCTGTGGTGAGCATCTTTTTGTATAATGCTTCCATGGACATTAGAATTATTTTTTAAGGATGGATAGATTCATAGAGAAAGAATTACTTTGCAAAAGAAAAAGAGAGATATATTTAAGGCTTTTGATACATTTTGCCAAATTGCTTTCTGAAAGGAGAACTCATTTATGTGGCTTGGTAAGTTTGCATGTTGAGGGTAGGAGGATGTGGCAGTCTCACCCAGGCCATTGAGGGTTCCCACGCTGTCCGCCATCCAGCGGCTGATGGTGTGGTTGGCTAGTGAGTCAAACATGCTGCTCAGAGCACTGGCTCCGGCCGCAGTGCCAATCAGGTACTCCAGGATCAGGTTCCAGCCAATGAAAAATGCCACAAATTCCCCAACAGTGACATAGCTGTAGGTGTAGGCAGATCCTGTGGTCTTGGGGACTCGAACTCCAAACTCTGCATAGCAGACGCCTGCAAGGGACAGACATACACAGATGGTGGACTTCAGGAGATGAGCTGACATCCTGTGGCCAACAATCTTGGGTGGAACATACTGAGACTTTCTAGGATCTCAGAACAAATACACAAAGTTTTATGTATATGAATCGATTCAGAGCCAACTCTTACCTCTTCCAACCTCACTTCTGAAAAATGCAAACTTGAATGACTAGCAAGGCAATCAGAACTAATTCTACTAAACTGTTGGAAACTGATCTTTATTTAGAAAAAATTCCACTTGTGTGTGTCTCTATCATGCTCCTTAGGTGTCAGATATCCTGTGTGAACATGGGCCCAATTCATCACGACCCCCACCCTAGATGGCACCAGGGTTATATTATGCACAAACTTCTTCTCTTTCAGTTTTTACATATTATAGAAGGTGCTCCTCATTTGAGAGTGATACTTTGAGCAATCTGTGAAAATGCTGTACTATATCTAGGGGGTAGATAAAAGATGCAAATATAAATAAATTACTAATTATTAACAAGGAAATCTAGCACATGCACAAAAAGTAATTTAACAAACACTTTTAGAGTCCTACCATGTGCATGGCAGGGTGTGAAGCACTGGGTATAAAAAAGACAAATGGCATATGCCCCTGCCCTTAAGGGGAGAGAGGCCATCAGTGCCCACTGTAGGCTGTGTAAGCTTGACAGTGTAAAAATGTATAACAATGAGAGGAGAGATGTGAGACATGTACTTAGAGGGTTTTGAGGCATATGTAGGGATTAATTGGATGAAGAAGGTGGAACATGAGGCAAAGACATGGCAGAGAGAGACAGTATGAAGTATTTGGGTGGAGGGGAGTGTGCACTGAGGTATTAGGAGGAGATGACGCTGGCCAGCTAAGCAGAGCCATGTGTTTTCCAAAGTGGGTTCAGGGCCCACTTCCACCAGAATCATCGATTGAATCCTAATTTCAGGAGATAGGAATCAGGATGCTGCATTTTAACCAGTTCCCAAGGTAATACATGTGCTCACTTGTATCAGAAATGCACTGGAATATTGCCTCATTCTCTGACATAATTAGAGAATATATTAGAAAGAGATTAAGAACATACCAAACTTCTGGGAGTTGGGAGAGTTCCCTATTTTGTGCTAGGAATTCTGGGTGTGGGCCAGTGGGTGGGGCAACGAGTTGGAGGTCAGACATAGGACAGCTTGGAGGAAACATACCAGGGGTGGGATGTAAGAGGATGTAGGAGGGAACTCAAAGTCAACTTTACCTTCAGTCCTAATTTTGTTAAGGGCCAACCCTGAAGTTCTCTCATCACAAACCAGGGAACAATAGTTCACTCTTTTGTGAATAAAGAGAGCAGGTTTCTTCTCATTTGGAAGGGAGTGAAATCAATGCAAAGAAGCAAAAACAGAGATGTCAAAAGCAATGGCACAATAAATGATTCCATGTGATGTACTATCTCTTCTTTCCCCTCAGCTGCTTCAGTTGTCAGGATGTTTACACGGAAGAAGCACTGGACCAGTTATGCTGGGCTCCTGTTTCTACTCCATCCCTGTAGATTCAGCATCCTTGTTTCTAAAATAAAAGTATTACACCAAAGACTCTCTTACGGATCTCCTAACTCTGACCCTCTAGGATTCCATCTGTTATATTGAACTTTGTAGTATTTTTTGCTGCAAAATCTGTTGAGCACAGCTTAGCTTTTCTTTTACATCAGTTACAATATTGTTCAGTATTATGGAGATGCTGTCAGGGATAGTGAAGCTGTTTGTCTCTACATTAAATGGCCCAGTCTGTTATTTATTTTGAGTTCCTATGTCAGCCCTCCTCCCCTTGCTTTGTAAATGTAGCTTTCCATCTCCTTCCTTGATGTCAGACTGTCAGTTTTTACTTCTTGTTGCTGTCCCAGTGCTTACCTGGAGCAGTCAGACTGCCTCTTTTCTAAATTGCTGCTTCCAACACCTGATATTTAAATTGTTAGAGTGAGTCTAAAATTAAGAGGAAATGGTCTTTGAAGAAGGCCTGAAGAACTCTTCCATGGGGAAAGTATAGAGTGTGCACGCATTAAATACAAGAACCTGATGATATTTTCTTGGATGCCGTGTGTTTTCAGGGTTCTCGGGAGTTGAGTTTGCACATACGGATTAGGTTGCTCTTTCAGTGATGTGTGAGGAAGGAAGTGAAGATGCAACTCACTTCCCTGCTTTGGTATTGGATCCACAGCATTATCCAATTACTCCTATATTCTATGAGCTTATTCTCATCACCCAACTTTACCACCTGATATTGTACAAGATTTATAAGTAAAATCTTTTCCAAATGATGCTTTTGAAGCAGGCATCGATTTGATTGCAAATTTAATTTGGAGAGCCAATATTTATGGAATTTGTGCAATCAAACATTCTCTCCATAACATTCGATCTGACAAATTAAATTTAAAAATACCCCCATTTTGCCACCAGAATACACTTGCCAAGGGTAATTAGCAAATGGCCAAGTCTTCATTAGGTCTTGTGAATGGACCAGTCCATTGCTGTCTGAATCAGAGAAAGAGGCCCTGGCTGTGCATGGTATAAGGAGCATTTGGAATCTTAGTCATTTCCCAAGGTCCTGCTGGGGTCCTAATGACTGTAGTTTGGGGAGAACACTGGGAAAATCAATCAGGCACTAACCATACAAGACAATTTCTGCTTCACGAAATCGTTGTTTTGGACACACTGTAAAAGATCTTATAATATTTTAAAATCTTTCTGATTTGTTTGTATGGAGAAATTCAGACTTAGAGTGGGTACTAGAGAGCATCTAGCCTGGCATTGAAGCTCACTGGTGATAATTGAATGTTTACAGCCTCAAATATCCTGAGAAAAATGTTCTCATTCAACTATTTTAAAATATCTGGTATGTAAGAGGAACACATTTAAGAGTATCTTTCTAATTTCAATAAGAAATTAAAAGCATGGAAATGGAATTTTATTTTATTTTTTTAATTTTTTTTAAATTTTTTTAGATGGAGTTTCACTCTGTCGCCCAGGCTGGAGTGCAGTGGTGTGATCTTGGCTCAATGCAACCTCCACCTCCTGGGTTCAAGCCATTCTCCTGCCTCAGCCTCCCAAGTAGCTAGGACTACAGGCATGCACCACTATGCCTGGCTAATTTTTGTATTTTTAGTAGAGATGGGGTTTCTCCATGTTGGCCAGGCTGGTCTCGAAGTCCTGACCTCAAGTGATCCTCCTGCTTCAGCCTTCCAAAGTACTGGGATTACAGCGTGAGCCACTGCGCCCGGCGAAACCTTGGTTTTTATCCTAGATTATCTAGGGTCCTAGATTACTGAGTGTTGAGGGGCAAGTTACCCTCTTATGGATGAAATGAGACGGCCAATTAGATACAGTTTAGGGTCCCTTCTGATGCATCATTCTTTGGTTTTACAGCTAAAGTCAACTCTTAATCATCTAGTTAGTGAGGGAAGCCCTGTAGGAAATACTGTATGAACCAATGGTTCTCAGTGAAGGTGGTACTGACTCCTAGGGGAATTTTGGAAATATGTGGGAGTGTCTACGGTTCTCATGATGATTGTGGGCACTTGTGGCATTAAGTGGACAGGGACCTGGGCTGTTTATCATTCTGCAATGTGACTGACTCACAGAATGAAGCTCTGTCTTGTATCATATATGACTGCTGATGGCCCCAGTGGACATTCATTTAAGTACAAACCTGTTTATAATTTTTGAACTTGAATTTATCTCCATTTTACATATACACACAAAGCATTTTTTTTTTTGCATGGCTTTTTAGACATTGAATTTTCCAGGACTGCAACAGCTGGGTAAATTGAGAGACAGTTGTCTCTTGTTTGGTTTGGAATTTACCGACTTGATCATCATTTTGGAAGACCATCATCAACAACAATGTTATTCATGGACTTTGAGCATCAAATAACTGTCCTATATGAGTCTGCATTTGTGGCAGTTGTACTCACAGTGGTTCTACAAATGACTGCAAACAACTGACGACTTCGTTGCGTCTCCTAATGTACGCATGCCCCATCATTCACATGTTGAAATAAATATTGTTTTTATTCAAAATTACTTTCCTTTGATTTATCTTTCACACTCAGGACATATTTATTTTTTAAAAAATCAAGTGCGTAGGAAGGTAACCATCTCTAGTTTTCATCCAGAATAGTAGAGGAAGCATTACAAAGTATTTATTACCAAAAATGAATTTGGGTGTACTAGGGTAGAGAATCACTGTTTTAAATGAGAGATCAATGGCCGGGCGCGGTGGCTCATGCCTGTAATCCCAGAACTTTGGGAGGGCGAGGCGGGTGGATCACCTGAGGTCAAGAGTTTGAGACCAGCCTGGCCAACATGGTGAAACACCGTCTCTACTAAAAATACAAAAAAATTAGCCAGGTGCAGTGGCGGACGCCTGTAGTCCCAGCTACTCTGGAGGCTGGGGCAGGAGAATCGCTGCAACCTGGGAGGTGGAGGTTGCAGTGAAGTGAGATTATGCCACTGCACTCCAGTGGGGACAACAGAGCAAGACTCTGTTTCAAAAAAAAAAAAGAGAGATTAACATATAAATAATATTTACTTAATTTGGTGAATCCATTAAAAAATTTTGCCCCTGAGTTACCTTTCTAATCATATTTGCCTTATGCTATTATCGAAGTGATTTTACATTTTGTGGTTATCCACCAAGTGATTAGAGGGAGAGGCATATTGATTTCAAAAGTACTTATTGATATAGCTAGAGAGAATCAATATGAAATCCAGTGTTTAGGTGCAGGCAGCCATCAGTGAGTGACTGCATGCTGCAGACCACATGATGGAAATTTTCCCTTAGTGTTGGTCAGAGATGAGAATTCTAAGTCCTTGAGAAATATAAAGGATTTATTTCAGCAGGACTAGAGGTAATAAGCCTGCAAGTCTGACACCTTTTCAATTACCCACGATATAAATCTATTGTAAACAGATTCCTATTTATATTTTGTCCCATTTCTAGTGTTTTATATTTCTATACCCAGAACTATTTGTGGTTAAATTGATAATTTGCCAGCCTAAAAATCAGTTAGAACTTGGAGTGAACTTCCACATTGAAAAGTGGGTTGGGACAAGGTACCGGGAGATTCTCGATTTGCAATATTCTCTGTTAATCCTCTTATATGTATCCCAGATGATGTGTGATTTGGGTTTTCAGAAAAATATGGTCCTTTTCAATGTGAATTTCTTTTCAAGTTACAGTCTATGGTTCTATCATATATGTAAATAAAGAGCCAGCCTTAGGTTTAGTTCTTTCAGACAGCCTACATGCAATGTTGACCTTTCTAAACTATGCTTAACAGAGCACAACCCAATAGCAAAGATAATCACGACATGCTTCTCCCTCTCTAATTCTGCTGAGTCACTTGCAGCCTACCCGGATTCCCTATTGCCCTTTTAGAACCAGGAAGCAAAACTTCTCCTTCCTAACAGGGTAAAGGAGAAAGACCCAGCTGGGAGTAGGCAAAAGGAGGAAAATTCTATTTTTAAGTGGGGAAGCTTTTCCACTTAAGGGGTAAGTTATTGGGGGTACAGTTTATATAATATGATGAATTCAATTATTATGTTGCCTGATCATAAGTGGAGAAAGGCTTCTCCACTTAAGACATAAATTTCCCTCTGCATTCCACCAAAGAAAGCCATTAGATAAATAAGTACTTTTAAATAAGTGTACTTTCACCTGGAAGGATTAAATCTAGGGGTTATTCACACTTGAATGCCAATTACTCTACCCAGATAGACAGATTTTCCCATTAATATGTAACTTATCTTACTTTGACTATTCCCTAACCTACTTATCAGCTCATTTAACAGTTTCCCAAATAATTTTTGACTTTCTAATTTCCTTCCTTTATTCCACACACATTAAGTGGCTATGAAATGAGGAAGTGCAATGAATGACAGAGACACAAATGGTAAGACAGATTTCCTGACCTTGAAGCATCTATATTTCAATCAGGAAAGAGTTTAATAAACAGCTGATTCCATGTGGCCAGTATTTAATACTATTGAGCATTTATGAGGTGTTCTTGGAGCTCAGTGCGGTGAGCGTGGTTCTTAGGAGCACGGTTCTTTGGTTGCTGTGGAAGCCCGGAGACTGGGGGAGGGAGCCTTTTAAGCTACTTCTTGGAGGGTAAGCTGGGCTTTGCCAGTCAGAAAAAAAATAGAGGAAAGGGTGGTTTCAGGCAGGCGAAAAGGTGTAGCTGGGCAGACACATGCAGGCTACTTTCGAGATTGTGGAAGATGAGCCTGCAGAGGTGGACTGAGATCAAGTGATTGAGGGGGTGGGACCTTTTTAACAGACGAGTGGACTAGCTGAAAAGGACTGTACAGTTCATCTACTTGTATAGTTTAAAGCTCTCTCTTAGTTGTAGAACTCTATTTTCCACACACAGTCTTATTTGAGAGCCCAATACATAAATAGGTAAAAGCAGGTGGCTCCGTTTGAAGGGTGGGAGAACCGAGGCTGGTCTGCTCAAGGTCTCCTTCATCCCATACTTCCCCAAAGCCCCTCACCCTCCTCTGTGGACCCCCAGGGCTGTACTGAGCATGGGAATGGGAAGAGGTGTCAGTTGCTCATCAGAGTTGTTCTTTTATTTTATAGATGATGCAACTGAGCTCCAGATCTGAAGCTGCGTATTCAATTAATGGCAGAGTTTGGGCTAGACCTGAGGTCTCCTGATATCCAGCCTTAGCAGCTTTCTAATTCACTCATTCATTTATCCCATGCACTGGTAAGGGATCATCTCTATGTATCTATATCAGCTTTTAAGGATTCAAAGGTGAACAGGAAGAATACAGTCTCTTTTTTGTGGGCCTTATAGTATCATGGAGGAAACAGACCAGAAAACCAACCAACCAGAAAGACTGTCCAAAAGGAAAGAGGCTATCAAGAATTATGAGAGGGAGTGGAGGCAGGTGTCCAAGAAAACAATTTGCCAACTTTACAGTTTCATGCAGGCCTCTGGGATCAGCAACAACTGGAGCGTTGCTCAGAGGTTCGGTCAGGCTGCCTTGAGTGGGCCATAGGTTGCTGATATCAGGCCCTATTAGGTATTTTGCGCATACTGTGTCTTATACTTCACACTGGGTAGGCAGGAAGGTTGGGGTGGGCTGATCTAGCAAATGGATGAGGTCAGTGATTTCTCATCCATGAAGTCAATTCTTCCCAAGTGCCAACTATCTGCCATCTCCCAGACACAGGATGGAATCAGCCGTTGGGTTACGCTGGTGAAATTCACTACTTAGGCCCAAACATGTCTGTAAGAAAGTCCTCACCAAATACAGCATTTTGCTGAGTTGTTACTTATTTTCTTCTGATTTCCTTACTTTTCTTAAAACATCTCTGTTCCGTTTATGCAGCCGCAGCGGGGCTAAGGCATGCTGTATATGTAGCTATTGTTGCTAGTCCTGCCTAAATGTAGATGGGGAGTGGGGTATGAAGAGAAATCACAGGACCTCAGAGAGAAATGAAGTGTGAATTCTCTCAGAAACATTTGTTTTCTCTGTGACACTGAGCTCCATATGGTGGGTAATGCAGTGTCCCCATTATTGCTGTCTTGAGAAGCAGGTTGCTGGGTCCTGAGAAACATCTATCCAGGCCCTGTCATATGCGGCTGGACCCAGTGAACCTGCACTGATGTCCTCTTCCCGATGCCCTTGGTTAGCCACGAAAACTGTGGGTTTTTCAGGGAGTGATTGGTCAGGTGCTCTGTCCCTTCAGCCTCACTGCTACTGTCTCTTCTACTTGAGCAACCTCGGTCACTCCATCACCTGTCAGGGAAGCCCAGGCAATTTTTACAAAGGTGTCTGAAGGAAAAGCAATTTGTCTGGGAATGCCTATGTTTCTTTGTGTCTAAGAAGAGACTTATGATTTCTCTGCCCAAGCAGGCGCCAGGTGGACAGTAACCACCTGTGTTTAGGGGACAGGCAGCATCATTAATCAGGGGTGTATGACATCATGTTATTGAACCTGACAGGGCTCCAATTAAAGTTGGGTAGGGAATAGAGAACTCCCAAGTCTGCCAAACCACTGCCCCAAATATATCAACATATAAACAGGTAGGAAATAAGTTGTCCTTTGAGTCAGAGAAGTCACCCCCCAAAACAGGTCAAGGAAGTTTAATAATTTGTTGATTAAATGTAACCAACTGGCCGGGCACGGTGGCTCACACCTGTAATCCCAGCACTTTGGGAGGCCGAGGCAGGCAGATCACCTGAGGTCAGGAGTTCGAGACCAGCCTGACCAACATGGCAAAACCCCGTCTCTACTAAAAATACAAAAATTAGCCTGGTGTGGTGGTGCATGGTTGTAATCCCAGCACTTTGGGAGGCCAAGGTGGGTGGATCACCTGATGTCAGGAGTTCGAGACCAGCCTGACCAACATGGAGAAACCTTGTCTCTACGAAAAATACAAAATTAGCCGGGCGTGGTGGTGCATGCCCGTAATCCCAGCACTTTGGGAGGCCGAGGTGGGTGGATCACCTGAGGTCGGGAGTTCGAGACCAGCCTGACCAACATGGCAAAACCCTGTCTCTATTAAAAATACAAAATTAGCTGGGCGTGGTGATGCATGCCTGTAATTCCAGCTACTCAGGAGGCTAAGGCAGGAGAATCACTTGAACCCTGGAGGCAGAGGATGCAGTGAGCCAAGATCGCGCCACTGCTCTCCAGCCTGGACAAGAGCAAAACTCTGTCTCAAAAAAAAAAAAAAAAAAAAATGTAACCAATCTGCAAGGTGTGGTGACTCACGCCTGTAATCCCAGCACTTTGGGAGGCTGAGGCAGGCAGATCACCTGAGGTCAGGAGTTCGAGATCAGCCTGGCCAACGTGGTGAAACCCTGTCTCTACTAAAAATACAAAAATTAGCTGGGCGTGTTGGAGGGCACCTGTAATTCCAGCTGTTCGGGAGGCTGAGACAGCAGAATTGCTTGAACCTAGGAGGCGGAGGTTGCAGTGAGCCAAGATTGTGCCACTGCACTCCAGCCTCAGTGACAGAGCAAGACTCTGTCAAAAAAAAAAAAATAAATAAATAAATAAATAAATAAAGAATGTAACCAACCTATCTGTTTACTCTCTTCTCTAGATCTCCCTCTATGAAAATATTTTGGAGGTTATTGAAGGTACAGTCTCTATAATATGAGGAATTCAAGTATTATCTTGTCTGGTCATGCTATTGTTAATAATCATCATCAGCATACATTATTTTACTTGACTGCTTTATCAAATGATAATGATGATGGTAATTGATGATGATGGTTATGATGATGCTCATGTGGTTACTTTCAACTAAAGAATCCACAGGGTTATCTGTGCCCCAAGCCAATCTTCTGGCCCAGATTGGTCCTTCTTCATTGTTGAAGCGGCAAGTGGGCTGGAACTGTCCTTTTTTCTGCTCCTAACATTTTTATGTGGGTGGCTTCAGGTTATCATCAAAGGCCACCTTGGAAGGAAAAAGTCACTACAAAAGGGAAAGGTGAAGGCGCATGTTTTCTTGGCATCTACCTATGCTAGACTCACTGTACGTGGTTTCACATTTGATGCTCAGACAACCTGGGAGAGAATGCCGAGGCCAGCATCAGCAGCCCCTTCTTATTTTAGGAGAGGGAGTGAGGTGTCGTAGAATTCACACAGCCTCTGGAGAGAGACCCAGAGAGTGGTTATGACAATGAAGTAAGATGTTGCACACAGATCACTTTGCTCAGTGCCTGGGCATACTAAGTAAGTGCTTACTAAAGGACAAATAGGCCGGGTGCAGTGGCTCACGCTTGTAATCCCAGCATTTTGGGAGGCTGAGGTGGGTGGATCACTCGGGAGTTCGAGACCAGCCTGACCAACATGGAGAAACCCCATCTCTAACAAAAATACAAAATTAGCCAGGTGTGGTGGTGCATGCCTGTAATCCCAGCTACTTGGCAGGCTGAGGCAGTAGAATCGCTTGAACCTGGGAGGTGGAGGTTGCGGTGAGCCGAGATCATGCCATTGCACTCCAGCCTGGGCAACAAGAGCGAAACTCCGTCTTAAAAAAAAAAGAAAAAAAAGGACAAATAAAATTATTGCTCTCTGTGGTCTGGAGCAGGTCACCCAATTCATTGACCCTGTTTCCCTACCTGGAAAATAGTGATGGTGATATCTACTATGCAGGTTGTTATGAGTCATCGAAGGACAGGTGTTACAGTTCCTGACATATGTTAGGTACTCCTTCAGTGGGAGCTTAGGGCCATTATTCATTGACGAGGAAGAGGAATCCCAGAGAGCTTTACTTAGCAGTAGCCTGTGGAGTATTTATACAGGAGCCTTTGCCTCAGAGTGGGATAAAACAGGTTGGAAGCAAGTATTGTTGGCTGATAGTTTTAGAGTCTCAGAGTTGGTAGGAAGGTTAGAAATCATCCAGAGTCTAGACCAAGCCCTAGGTGTGCTCAATGCACTTCTAAAACAGAACCTGGAGAAGTTTCTTCCTAGGTTTGAAATCTTTAATCTAGAAACTTCTTGTTCTGTTCCACAACTGCAATGAGAAATTGTGAGGGTGAATAGAAGTTTCCCATTTTCTCACTCAACCTCTCTTTGTGAGACCTACTGTCTCTCATCCAGGGGACTCTTATAACTGGACTAAAAAGGCTTTGTGCAGAAAAGGAAAGGAGACTTGGAGCTGAAGTGACAACCAACAATTCTCTCCTACCCGAATATTTCTCAACTCATCACTCTCAGGAAGCAGGCAGTGTCCCATTTCTAAAGCAGGTGAAAGTGGCACCAACAGAGATGACAGATCTCAGAAGATTCTGTGGGGGATCAGCCATACCCCCTGCCCTGAGATTACAATGGGCTGGGTTCAAGGTGAGTGCCGAGAGGACCCACCTGAGCCCTCACGTGGCCTCCCCAGCCCAGATGAGGAGCAGGTGAGATGGGGGTTCCACTGGGAGGGGACACATTCTCAGAAGATGACTAGGGAGGGGGAGCCACAGCAAATCTTTCATGGGCCTGCACCCATTCTCTCTGGGGGGCCTTCCCAAAGACATGAGAGACCCTTCATGACAGGGATGCCAACACACAGGGAGGGGAAGAACAGGGCCAGAGACTCCGAATTTAGGAGGCTTGCAGGAGAGAATCTTTTGGTGAGATGGATTCGGTTACAGTGCCTACTTCTGGTTCTCCCCTATCCTGTGATACAAACTTCTACCACTTTTACCTCCTTCCTTCTCCTCTCCCCTTTTCTACTCCCCCACACCTCAGAACTCTAGGCGGATTCAGCCTTCTATAGGGCACATGTGTACAATTTGCATTTTTTTTTTTTTTTTTTTTTTTTTTTGAGACGGAGTCTCGCTCTGTCGCCCAGGCTGGAGTGCAGTGGAACCATCTCGGCTCACTGCAAGCTCCGCCTCCCGGGTTCACGCCATTCTCCTGCCTCAGCCTCCCAAGTAGCTGGGACTACAGGCGCCCGCCACTACGCCCGGCTAATTTTTTGTATTTTTAGTAGAGACGGGGTTTCACCGTTTTAGCCGGGATGGTCTCGATCTACAATTTGCATTTTATGGCGTGAGTGTTGCCACCTGCTGCTGGTCTATGAGGATGGAAGGCTGGCATGCACTGGGTAAACTGTGGCCGCAGTGTCTTCTGTGCACAGCTGACAAAGATGGGGGTTATGGGTTACTGTTCTTCCGAAGAATCTCACCTACGTGGTCCTGATGGATTGTTTCTAGCTAAGTAGCTCCTACTGAATGCAACAGCAATGGTGAGTTTTGAGCTAAATTTTGAACAAGAGAACTCCAGTGAATGGAATAGTGACTCCCTTGGATACACTGGGGGGCTTCTTGAAAGAGGCTTTCCCACCAAGAAAAATAGCAAGTGCCCTTGGCTGAGCTTATAGTATTTTGCCACATAAGCACTCTCCTAATTAAAATAATCTTAGAAATGTTTTCAAAGGAGCAGGTGTTTGTATCTATACTTCACATATAAGAGAAACTCATTATATTGGTTATTTTTCTTTAGAAGTCAAAGAAATGATAAGCTAGGGCATTTATAAACAAACTCTCAAGAGAAATTAATATAGCCAAGGGCTATTGTTGAATTTATTCCAAGTGGGAAATGTCTAAAGAGTTAATAAGGTCTACAGATATATTTGTGCAAATATGTGTATATGCATACATATGTAAATGTATACATTATATATATATTTTCAATTACTTTGCAAGGGACTTTTCAGGGCCAGATCTATGAGAGTGACGAGTGGTGAAGAATAGTATATAAAATGTCTATGTTGCATGTTAGCAAATAATTGCTTTTCACATACATATTCATGACTTTTAACAAGGCACAGGCACAGGTTGTGTCCAGGACAAATGCATTCGTTGGGTTGTTAAATAAAGGATCCATTCTCTTGCTTGCTGTTTGCTCTTCTCCATGCTAATGCTTCCCTTTGCACTGTGGTGTTGGCCTTCATCACACCCCAGAAATTGCCATCTCTAACCCACAAGCTGTCAACAGAATGGCCTTTTATCAGTGTCCCTGCAGCTTGTGATGCAAACACTCATTCCCTCTCTGTTCCCTTGTGTAAGAATCTGTTCTTCCTTTGGTTTCACTCCCTTTCTTCTGCCCACTTCTTTTCTTTCTTCATCATCGCTTCTTATTTATCCATCTCCATCTGTGTGTAGTCATTTAACAAAGTTCTCCCTTCAGTTCTTTTCTCTCCTTGCACCCCTTGCTTTGGTGATCTCACCTCCTTGCCAGGGCAAGTGTCAGGAGCTTTTTGATTCCCTGGGGTGGCCGTGGCTCCTTGTCTGCAGCCTCTGTGAACTAGCAACATGAGGAGTGGGCCAGAGTGTTCAAAGTAGATGGCCTGGCACATGCAAAGCTCCTGAGCTGCTGTGATCAGCGAGTTAGACTCCACTCAGAAAGTCTGCTGTGCAGACCTCTGAGGGCAAGGGCTGGTGCTTGGCATAACTCCTTTTCATGAGTTTTCATCAACATTCCTGTCTCAGGTGTTTATCCCATGGCTGTCGGCAGGTACCATGCCTTACTTATCTCTGCATCTCTAGCATCTATTTCAGTGCACAAAGTTGAGGCTGCTTAAGTATCACTTCTTCAGAAAAAGTACTTTGTCATGATACCTTGTTTATTTTCCTTTATAGCACTCGTCACTGTTTGTAATTATTATACATATTGATTTACTTGTTTTGAGGCACAGCCTATTAACAATGTGTTTTAAGGCATAGCCTTGTTAAAGGAGGCTGTTCCTGTAGAGAAGAGAATTCTTCTTGGGCATATACTTTCAGAGTCAAAAGCGTGCTCTTTGCACAGGGTTCATCTGGAGGAAAGTGAGTAGGAGGCAAGTCTACCCATTTTTTTGCTAGCGGCGGACTGAGGAGCTTCAGCATTGGAACCAGGACTACTCATTTGCACTAAGAACCTAGTCTTGTTAGGTTGGAAACTGGCCAATACTCTTGGTAGTGGTGATAATAATACAAACATTACTGAGCATTTACTATGTGCATGGGCATATTAAGCACTTTACATACAAAAACTTAATCTTCACAAGATGGTTATGATGCAGAAACTGTTATAATTTCCATTTGCAGATGATGAATCCAAGATCTCAACAGGTTATCAGGACTTCTCAACCTTTTCCATATCACATAACCCACCTTGAAAATAATATTTGGGCTAAGCACGGTGGCTCATGCCTGTAATCCCAGCACTTTGGGAGGCCGAGGCAGGTGGATCACCTGAGGTCAGGAGTTCTAGACCAGCCTGGCCAACACGGCGTAACCCCATCTCTACTAAAAATACAAAAATTATCCCTGCAGGGTGGTATGTGCCTCTAATCCTAGCTACCCAGGAGGCTGAGGCAGGAGAATCACTGGAACCTGGGAGGCAGAGGCTGCAGTGAGCTGAGATCATGCCACTACACTCCATCCTGGGCGACAGAGTGAGACTCTGTCCGCCCCCCCCAAAAAAAAAATATATATATATGTATATATATATTATGGATATGGAAAGGTTGTAATGTATAAAAGGGCGAGGCTGCTCACTAGCCTGGGGCCTATATCACTTTCCAGGTGTCCTAAAGCTGAAGGATCCATATCTTGGCACACCTCTAACTTTCAGCAACCTGTTTGGAAAGCTCTAGGGTTAAATGTATTTCCCAAGTCATACAAGGAGAAAATGACAAAGCAGGGCTTGAACTGAGGCAGTTCAGCTACAGGGACTAATTGCACCTGGCTCCCAGATGCTAGCTGGGGTTAGGATGTGTGTTGGGGTGGGGGGGGAGTTGAGACAATAGGCCCTTCTTTACAAATCTTTCCCCTCTCTTGGTTGTTTTTCATGCAAACTAATGAGACAGGCAATCTAATTCAAACTCTTCATTTTTCAGAGGAGGAAACTGAGATCAGGACATGTGAATGACTTGCCTGAGGGCCCTGGACTGCTGAGGGTGAGAGCTGGAATCAGACCTCAGGTGTCCCGACTTCTGACGCAGGCCTGATTGTCTCTTGCAGCACTCACAATTATTTCACGTGTGCACATCTTGTTTCTTCATATTGATATCAAGCCCTTTGTCTCAGGGTTCTTTCCCATGTTCTGCAGCATCTCCTGCTATGCTGGGCCCAGAGAAGGTGGTCAGTCCCTCCTACAGCCATGCTAGGTGCTCATGGCATGCACTGTCCACACTACTAGGTGCTGCAGAAGATGTAAAAGAAGCCCAGGTTTTCCTGGCTTTGCTGGAGGAAACTCATTATCACCATCAGCAATTTAAGAAACTTGCAAATTTCTATTAAAATGTGCTCACCTTCTCTGAATTGGTTAACTGACATCCTTCCTACAGGGCTGTCAATTGATCCCTATATAGAAGAGCTACATGAACTTTACAACACCTTTCTCCTCACTGCTGACAGGTGACAGAAAGATGCTGAGCTTACAAGTCATCTTCATGACCTGACTTAGAGAAGTTTTGATCTGGAAAAGTGCTCTGCTAGTCAATAGGGTGAGGTACAGGGTCTTTTGAAACCCCAATAAACGTGAGCGTTCCTTGATTCATTTGGTTCTCTTTGGTGAGTTTTTAAATTTAGGGGTGGGCCAGGCACAGTGGCTCACAGCTGTAATCCCAGTACTTTGGGAGGCTGAGGCAGGAGGATAGCTCGAGGTCAGGAGTTTGAGACCAGCCTGAGTAACACAGCGACACCTGTCTCTACAAAAAAAAAATAATAATAACAATAAAATAAAATAAATAAATAAAGAAGAAGAAAGAAAATTAGTTGAGTGTGGTGATGCACACCTATAGCCTCAGCTACTGAGGAGGGTGAATTGGGAGGATCACTCGGGCCCAGGAGTTTGAGGCTGCAGGGAGCCATGATCATGCCACTGCACTTCAGCTTGGAGGACAGAGTGAAATCCTATCTCAAACATAAATAAATAAATAATAAATTTGGAAGTTTGTGTCTGTATGAAGCAGCATGGGGGTCATGGTCTCTGGAAGCAGGCTGAATCATATTTAGACCCAGCCTTTGCCACTGACCACCCTGTGGCTCTGGACAAGTCACCTAACCTCTTTGAGCCTGAGTTTTGTCATCTGCAAAATAAGTATGATAATGGCATTTATTTTGTAGGGTTTTTTGGGATTATGCAAATGGTTTTCAGCTAGTGTGAGGCACAGCAAAACTGCTTGTTTAGTTTTATGATGAATCATAAAATGGGGACATTAATATCCACGTGATAGGAAGATTGAAAGAATTAAATGAGATAATGTATGCACAGTGCCTGCTGCACAGTATTTGCCTAATAACAATAAAACTGATAGTAATAATAATATGAACTAACATTTATCATGTGCTTGCTAAATTATATCTTAGAGACTTTATAAGCATCAGGAGTGGCTGCATCATTATTATGATTTTGACATATGGCTGTGTATTGGGACATTTGAGACAGCTAGTCTTTCAGAGATTTGAGGACTGGCATGCATTTGTTCATCTTTGCATTTCCTTCCTGTCCTCACAATATTCTGCCTCTTCCACTCCCCAGTGTTGTTAACAGCAGTTTCCAGAGGTGTTTCAGGGAACAAACAAATGCAAGCTGTGGAATGAATGACTAATCCTAGATCACGGAGGAGTTGCAAAGGACCAACCCTCCTGTTTCACCTCTCAAGGCTGTCTTCAATTTGAGGAGGGAAAATCATTTATTGTTCTGAAAGATAAAACAAGGGAACCTGTCAGACTATATAGACTGAGTCTTTAGAAATCTTTCTTTGATCATGAAACTCAAACCCAAGATGAATACTGGAATGGGGAGCCTATGTTTGAGCTTTGCAAGAACCAGCCCAGGAGGAGGTTGGGAACCTGTGGAGAGACATCTGCTCAACAGAGCTCTGCTCTCTGTTCTCTTACCTCCTCCCTAGGGATTCCATTACCATGAGCTTGCCTGATGATGGATCACGAGGTGCCAAAGATCAAATGAGGATGGCAGGAAACACAAATTTTAAACCCTAATGCCAAATCATAAACTAAGGGTGTCGAGAAAAATATTGCTCAGTGTGATGACCCTTCATTGCCTTTTAGACCCAATCAATGGGAACTGATCACAATTTATTAATTCACAACTATGAGAAAGATTTTCTGGCTACAAAGATCTCAGAGATAGCTCGCTGAAATGGCAGAGCATGAGCTTTGGAATCCTACAGTCATAGATTTGAGTTCTGGCACGGCACTAAATAGTTGTGGGACTTTCAGGAAGCTCCTTTAACCTCTGACTCTGGTTCCTCATCTGTAGAGCAGAACTAAAGTCATCCCTCCCTCCACAGGGTTGATGAAGATGGGAAGGAGGTGCTACATGAAAGCGCCTTCCATGGTGTGCTACACGCAAAGATGAGATCTAGACCCCTCGTGGTGTTCTGTGGTGGTCTTCTTCGCTAGAGTTTTCTGATTCTACTTTCACTTTCTGGCACCAGAACTGTGTTGTAAAATCTATTATTTTAATGACATTGTTTCAATAGTTTCTCTATTATATGTCTTTTCTTGGCTAGAAAGAGCCTTTCTTGCCCTCCCTCCTTGTCCCTCATCTACTCACGCCCAAATTCTCTTCATCCTAAGCTTCCTTTTGGCCTTTCAGGGACTAGGACTTCATATCTCCTGTATGTTTTGTGCAATATGTGCATAACAGCTTCCCTGCCTCCATTCTCTTTCCACTGTATTACTAAAGTACATATCTGGTCATGTTACTGAACTTCTCAGTGCCTAGAGAATGATACCTAACCTTCCCGGCATGGCCTCCAAATCCCTCCTTTGAGAACCTTCTTTGTTTAGTGAATTATCTCAATAAATTATTTTGGTTGGGGAAAGATATTCTTTGGAGAATGACCAGGATGAACTTGGAGGGTGATGAAGAAATAACTGCTTGGTAGGATATGGACAGAGTTTTAGAGCTTAAAAATGAGCAGAGCAGACGGTGAGGTTATGGGAGAAAGGCTGCCCATCCATGGGGCTAAAAGCTGGTGCCAAGAAGAAGAGAGGGTTGGTGGATGTTCCCTAAAGGCAGAGAGAATTGGAGTGTCCTATATTCAAGTGTGAGCTTGCTGTTTGCTGGGATTGACTGTACTATATCTCCCATCTCTGGTCCAAACTTTCCATAAAAGTCTATGGCACACACAATCTTGCATTACTGACGCTTTTTTGAGATGAGTTTGATAATGATGATAAAGAAAGGGGACAGCAGGTAGGAGGTAAAATGCAAAGTGGAAACAGAGACTCTGTAGAAGCAGAGACTTAGAGCCAGAATAGTGAAGTGGAAGGTCAGCTTCACAACTCCCTAGATTTACTGAGGGGGACCTTAGATCTTCCCATCGTAAATTGGGAATCAGAACCAATTTTATTTAAATATTGCAGAAAAAATTGACCTCAGCAAACTGGAAGGCTTCAGGGTTTTGCATGCCTTATAGATGTGGCAGTGACAGCCAGCTTTTCCTTTCCTTCCTATCAACAGAATTCTGTAATTCTGGAGTTGGCAATATACCCATTTAGAGGACTATACTTCTCAGCCTCAATGGCTGTGGCCAGATGTCCAAGTTTAGGCCAATGTCAGTGGGAGAAATGGGGAAGGACTTATAAGAAAGATTCTTGAAAAGAGGACAGAAAGGGGCCAGGCGCAGTGGCTCACGCCTGTAATCCCAACACTTAGGGAGGTCAAGGCGGGCAGATCACCTAAGTCAGGAGTTTCAGACCAGCCTGGCCAACATGATGAAACCCCGTCTCTACTAAAAATACAAAAATTAGCCAGGCATAGTGGTGGGTGCCTGTAATCCCAGCTACTCATGAGGCTGAGGCAGGAGAATCGCTTGAACTGGGGAGGTGTAGGTTGCAGTGAGCCAAGATCGTGCCACTGCACTCCAGCCTGGGCAGCGGAGCAAGACTCTATCTCAAAAATGAAACAAACAAACAAAAAAAGAGGACCGAAAGGTAAGGAATCACCTGCCCCAACTTTCCATTTTTCTTTCTGCCTTCTGGAACTCAGACATACTGACTGGAGCTACAGCAGCCGTCTTTGGTCTTGAGTCATCTTGCAATGGAAGCCAAATGTCTGACTGGCACAGCAGAAAAATAAAGGGGCCTCTGTCCCCATGTCTGAGAGGCCACAAGAGCAGCCTCTCTCCAGGTTTCTTGTACACAGGACAGAAATGAAATTCTCCCTTATTTTGGTGTTTTGTTGTCTGCAATTGAATGTAATATAATCTGTTAATACAGTAGCAGAGTAGCAGAATGATTAAAAAGTGAGCTCTGGAGTCAGACTGCTTTCACTCCATTCCTTACGCTGTCACCTCTTAAGCAGGAGCCTTAAGCAAAGGAGCCAAACCTTTCAGAATCCTCTGTTTTCTCATCTGTAATATGCAGTAAGTGTAACACCACTTGTCACATATGGTTTTTGTGAAGATTAAGTAAAATAATGGGTTATGCACTTAGAACTCTTTTGGTACAAAGTAGGTACTCAATAAGTGGTAGTTGCCACTATGACCATTACATTGTTATGACTATTATTGCCATAGTCACTTATCAGATTTAGCATTCATCTCCATCAATGAGCAATGGGACCCAATAGCAATGGGTCCTTTGGAAATAGAGAAGAGGCAATTTCTTGCCTATTTTTGGTACTGTCTCAGGACTGATACATGGTAGGAGCCCAATACATTTTTACTGAACCTTATCTTATTAGATTTTTGCCAAACATTTCTTATGAGTAGATGACAAAAATTGTAAGTATTGTGTACCAGGGAAAGGACTGATGCTGTGTATGCATACTGTTGTTGAATCCTTACCAAAAACATTTGGGAAATGGGCTTGAAGGGTTATTATAGACAGTGTATGAACTTAGGAGTGATTCAGACCTATATTCTGTTTGAGGAACAATTTTAATAATGTTAAAAGAGGACTGGATATAAATTTAGAAAAAAAGTTTAATCTGCCTCTCTTCCACTACTCAAATAAGAGCCTCTTGGGGCTTTGAATGGCTGGATGTCACTGGCACGATGGCTTTGCTTTGTTTCATCCATAGCCAACTACATTAGAGAACCTCTGTAAACCATCCTGCCTCCACCCTTCAGTCTCTCCAAAAGGCTGTAGGTGGGAACCATGATGAAAAGAAACCTATTTCCTCTATCTAGTTTATACAATCTGCAATATACAAAAGGGCTTTTAGGTTTGGCATGGCTATGGGGTCTGGTTGTGGCCTACTGAGCTATTGAAGAGTAGATAAGACCTTTTGGACAAAGCACAAGCTGCTTCCTCTGATAAGTTTTCTTCCACCTGTGACAGGGCAGTGGGCAATTATAACGTTGGGGCAGGACTAGTGGGAGGAGCTTGGCAAGTTGCTATAACTTCCCAGCTTGACAAATTGTAAAGAAAATAGATTGCTCTGTGAGTCAGATTTGTTTCATGTTATAAGCTGGTTTGCATAGCATGGGGAATGGTGCGGCAAGGCCAAAAACTCTCTTAAGATTGTGCTGTCCAAATAGTTTCCATTATGTTGGTGCAAAAGTAATTAGAATTAGAATTCCCTGGGGAACTTTAAAAATTCCAATCCCTGGACCAATTGAATTAGAAACTCTGGAGGTGGTGCCTGGGCATCAGTATTTTTAAAAAGAGATAAACAGAAATTGAAAGACACGCCACAAACTGGAGAAAGTATTTGCAAAAATACATACCTAATATAGGACTTGTCTCTAGAATATATAAGGAATGCTTAAAAGTGATTAATAAGAAAATAAAGAACCTAATTACAAAATGGGCAAAAGGGCTAGGCGTGGGCTCATGCCTGTAAGCCCAGCACTTTGGGAGGCCAAGGCAGGCAGATCACGAGGTCAGGAGTTCGAGACCAGCCTGGCCAATGTGGTAAAACCCTGTCTCAACTACAAATACAAAAATTAGCCATGTGTGATGTCATGCACCTGTAGTCCCAGCTACTCGGGAGGCTGAGGCAGAAGAGTCGCTTGAACCTGGGAGGTGGAGGTTGTGGTGAGCCGAGATCGTGCCATTGCACACCAGCCTGGGAGACAGAGCAAGACTCCATCTCAAAAAAAAAAGAAAAAGGTGGGGGGTGGGCAAAAGATTTAAATAGACACTTTACCAAGGAGAGCACATGGATGACAAATAAACTCATAGAAAGATGTCCAACATCATTAGTAATTAGCATAATGCAAATTAAAACCACATTGAAACATTGCTATATACCTTTTAAAATGGCAAAACAAACAAACAAACAAAAAACAAAACAACCATGAAAAACCACACCTAACAATTCTGAGTGCTGGCAAAGAACTGGAACTTTCACATATTCCTGTGCAAGTCAAATATAATACAGCTACTTTGGAAAAAAGCTTGGCTATTTATTATAAAGTTGAGCATTCACTTACCATATAAACTAACAACTTCACTCCTAAGTACTTACTTGAGAAACCACAACTTGTGTTTATATAAAAACCTACATGTAAATACTTGCAGTGAGTTTATTTACATCGGCCAAAGACTGGAAACAACCCAGTTGTCCTCCAACTGGTAAAAGGATAAACAAATGGTAGTAGAGCCATACAATGGGATACTACTCAGCAAGAAAATGGAACAACCTTCTGATACACACAACAACATGAATGAATTTCAAATGCATCTTGCTAAGCAAAAGAAAGCAAACTTAAAAGGTTATATACTGAATGATTCTATTTACATAATGTTCTGGAAAGGGCAAACCGATAGGGACTGAAAACAAATTAGTGGTTGCCAGGGGCTGGGAGTGGGAGGAGGGATTAACTACAAAGAGGCAGCCTGGAGAAATTATTTTGGAGGTGATGGAGCTCTTCTGCATCTTGATTGTGGTGAAGCTTACACGATTATATGTGTTTACTAAAGCTCATAGAAGTGTATATAAAAAAGGATGCATTTTATGATATGTAATTATAACTCAATAAAACTGAACTCCAACATCCATTTTTCATTATTACAGAAAAAAAATTCCCAAGTGATTTAAACCCATAGCCAGGGTTGAGAGTTGTTGACATTATCTCTCAACCTATCTATCAACAGATTTGAATGTGGGTTCTGTCATTTAAACTTCGGTTTACACATTTTCCACGTATGTGAAATTGGAGATAATAAAACCTACTTTAAAGAGATAAAGAGTTTTAAGGGCCACACTCTCTGGAAAGCACCTAATTTAGGGTTTGGCACAAAATAATAAAAACCACTTATTTAGTGCTATGTGCTCGGCAATGTACCAGGCAATTAATATGCATCTCCTTTAGTCTTGACAACAATCCTTTGAAGTAGGTATTATTATTTTTAAAGTGGAGAAACCGATGTTCAGAGAAATTATGGAACTTACTCAAGGTCTCACAGCTAGTCAGTGGCTGAACCAGGTTTCAAGTCTAAACTGAATGTTATTGATTGCTATACTACTTCTGAAATCTTTATTTCAAACATCCCACTCTTTATCATTTCCATCACTTCCTAGCTTTCTGTCTAACTTTCCCAGTATTTTTATTGCAATGATATCTTGACCTGATTGACAATTCCAATTTCTACCGATTCCACCACTTTTCATGAGTCATCGTCACTCTTGTGTTTCACTTCCCTTCTTATTCAGCCTAGATTATGTGATTCAGCACAGTTTAGTCTTCCTTTGAAAACACTCTTAACCCCATTACTTTTTTCTCCCTCTGCTTGGAAAAAGTTAAATCTAAGTTAATCTCAACTTTCTCTTTACTTCATTCTTGCAACTAAGCAGCAATTATTGCTGGAGATAAATGTGCAGTTGTGGAGACTGGACTCACCCTCAGGTGAGCCAGGTTTTAATTAAGACCAGAAGGAGAAAAGGACCGTGTATTTAAAAGGATGAAGATATAGGAGAGTTTGATT